>NC_000010.11:82718852-82870368 GCF_000001405.40 Homo sapiens | reverse complement strand
TGTCAAAAGTTGGAAACAACTAAGATGTCCTTCAAAAGGTGACAATGTAATGTTATCCAGCTCTAGAAAGAAATGGGCTATTAAGCAATGAAAACACATGAGAAAATTACTAAGTGAAATAAGCCAGTACAAAAGGTATTATTCCAAATATATGACAGTCTAGAAAAGTTAAAACTATGACAATAGTAAAAAGACTAGTGGGGCCAGGCGTGGTGGCTCACGCCTGTAATCCTAGCACTTTGGGAGGCTGAGGCGGGCAGATCACGAGGTCAGGAGATCGAGACCATCCTGGCTAACACGGTGAAACCCCGTCTCTACTAAAAATACAAAAAATTAGCTATTAAGCAATGAAAACACATGAGAAAATTACTAAGTGAAATAAGCCAGTACAAAAGGTATTATTTCAAATATATGACAGTCTAGAAAAGTTAAAACTATGACAATAGTAAAAAGACCAGTGGGGCCAGGTGTGGTGGCTCACGCCTGTAATCCTAGCACTTTGGGAGGCCGAGGCGGGCAGATCACAAGGTCAGGAGATCGAGACCATCCGGGCTAACACGGTGAAAACCCCGTCTCTACTAAAAATACGAAAAATTAGCCGGGCATGGTGATGGGTGCCTGTAGTCCCAGCTACTCGGGAGGCTGAGGCAGGAGAATGGCGTGAACCCCTGAGGCGGAGCTTGCAGTGAGCCGAGATGGCACCACTGCACTCCAGCCTGGGTGACAGAGCGAAACTCTGTCTCAAAATAAAATAAAATAAAATAAAATAAAATAAAATAAAATAAAATAAAATAAAATAAATAAAAAAGACCAGTGGTTGGGGAAAGGCAAGGATGACTAGAAAGAACACAAATGATTTTTAGGGCAGTAAACCTACTCTGTAGGATAATATAATAATGGATACATATCATAATATGTTTGTCTGAATCTATAGAAAGTATAGCATCAAGAATGAACCATAATGTAAACTTTGGACTTTGAATGATAATGATGAGTCAATGTAGGTTTAGGTTTGTCAATTGTAACAAATGTACCTCTATTGTAGGAGATCTTCATTAGGGAGGTAGCTGTGCATGTTTGAAGACAGAAGATACGTGAGAAATCTCTGTAATTTGCACTCAATTTTGCTATGAACTTAAAACTGTGTGAAAATCAAGTCTATTAAAGAAATTGACACACACACACACAAATAGAACTAGCATTGATTAATTGTTGGCACAACAATAAACTGACATTATTAAACTTACATATAGACTATGCCTACATTTCCCCTTCCCAGCTGAATTCATACCTAGAGATGTCATATTACTTGGGATGATGGCACTTTCAGTGGAAGGAATTTTACCCATATGGATTCTATAATCATAAATTAAATCTAGCCGGGTGTGGTGGCTCACGTCTGTAATCCCAGCACTTTGGGAGGCTGAGGAGGGCAGATCACTTGAGGTCAGGAGTTAGAGAACAGCCTGGCCAACATGGTGAAACCCGTTTCTACTAAAAATACAAAAATTAGTTGAGCGTGGTGGCAGGCGCCTGTAATCTCAGCTACTTGGGAGGCTGAGGCAGGAGAATCTCTTGAACTTGGGAGGCGGAGGTTGCAATGAGCCAAGATTGTGCTACTGCACTCCAGCCTGGGCAATACAGTGAGACTCCATCTCAAAAAATAAAAATAAAAAAGTTAAATCTGAGAATATTGTTCTCAAAGCAACAAACAGAATTTTACATATTCAATTAGAACAATCTGTGGGGGTGAATTATTGAGGTCAGTGAAAACAGCATATTCACTAAATTTATAAAGCTATTCACTACTGCAAACAATCCTTTTTTAGCTGCCATTATCTATATGCATACCAGCCAATCCCTTGAACTCTGAGTTGTTCCCCAACCCCTTCCCTCCAAGAAAATTTCTACCGTTGGAGTCAAATAGTCACCCACTGAGAATTCATTCCCCATGAGGTCTTATAGCTATGATTAGAATCTATCTTTTGCAAAACTCACTATTACCTTAGTCTTGTGGTTCATGTAGATGAACTACATGACAATCTACTATTTTTTCCTGTGTCAGTAGCTACATTTCTTTAAATGAATTCCAAAACAGAGCTCTTAATACATAGATTGCATCTATAGCAAATTATAACTCTATAAATTACCAGTGCCACTGGCAGTCCTCAGACACAATAGGAAGCACAACAGGATGGAGACTGGTCCATTTCTTTCAACACGGATTAAAATTTGCATGGCAATTTTAGTTTGCTACAGCCATGGCTACACTGGGGATCTAGACCTATCCTAGTCCCACCACCAACTATGCAGTGTTTCCTGCATTTGAGGGCATTCTGCTGAACAACTTATAAAGCCTCACTGAGCCTGCAATCACCACAGACTAGTGGGGCAAATTGCTCTTGGACAAGCGGCCCAGGGCACATTTTATTCAAAATGAGTACTGATGCTCACACCTCCATGCTACGAATCACTGCCATCATTAGCGAATGAGGAGGGTACAAATTGTGTGCCCTTCTCAACAATGTATTCTTACTGCAAAAATATGCCCATGATTTTCAGTAATTTGTGGCCCATGACTCAGCTATCTACTCCTCTTCCACCAGTTATACCCTCCACTTGGCTTAGTGAAATTGCTCATCCACATTCCGCAACACACCTTCTGCATTCTCAATCTCTTCTTTGACTCTTTATTTTTGTTCTCCTATTTTAGCTGAAACTTGAATCTTGCCTGAAAAGTCTCATTTTCCTCTACCTGTCTCAAGAGCTGTTTTTATTTTCTCACTTTCAACATTGGAGATCTGTCCTCCTGGCTTCTAACGTACAGTTTCTCTTGTCTCTTATGAAAAATCCTGTTCCTTTAAAGTTTATGCCATTCACACAGTGGCAGAGATTTCTAAAAATGCATTTCCTCTGTTCTCTCAGGGTTCCATTTCCCAGCCTCTTTTACAGCAAAATGAAGTCATGTAATTTAGCTCTAGCTAATAGAACATTAAGCAAAAAGTGATATGAGTTCTTGTAGATCAGTCTTTTAAGCATTGGGTATGCATCAGCTCTGTTCTGTTTCTCAATCTGCTGGCTAGATGCAGTTAACAAAGAAACCTACGTAATATTGAAACCAAAAGATGGAAGAAGCCTGGATCTCTAATTCACTACTTGAATAAAACTAGTCATTTGCTACCTTAAACAGGAAATACATCTACCTTGGACAAGAAAAAGTAGTATCAGGAAATAAATTGCTACCGTCTTTGAGCCATTATAATAACGTGGGCTCTATTTTTTGATGCAGCTGGCATTACCCTTAACTATACTCTTCCTTGTCATCTACTAAATTCCAGTATAGTTTATCATATTAATGGGAAACTTTGGCATATAACCAACATTTTTTTTCTCTCTGTCCCAACCCTAGCATTATCATGAGTAACTGGAATATCCATTAGACAACTTATCCAAAACTATGTCCTCTCAAGTCCTTGACCTCTAGTTTCAAATTATTTCCCCCTCAACCTCAGTTTGGTTATTTACACTCATAGGAATGCTTTGAATATTGTCATCTCCTATAACTCCTCCATCTTCAAAATCAAAATCAACCAATCTGCCATATGACTATAATCTCTTCATCACACCAGCTTGTTCAAGCGCTCTCATGATGACTACTAATTGATTTCATTGAAACGGTCATTCTTCTTTCACTTCCTTCTACAACTATCTCACATTCCATCGCGCTTCATTTGAATAACATCCTAAATCTCATTGGTTTTCTGAGTTTTCATCACATCTATCCAACAAAACCGCAAGCCTGCAGGAATTGAGCTGTCTGCCTTTTCTATGATGTAATAACCAGAGAATGGAGCAATAATGAGTAATACCATACAACTGGGAACACCAATTCCGGTATAAAGACATTTCACAAATTTCTAATTAACTCTCAACACTTCCAACAATACAACCACCAACTTAACGTCTCTCAAATATGTCAAAGCTATCCCAAATCAACACTTTGATAAGTGTTTGCTGAATTAATGGGTGAATGGATAAATTAATACAAGTAAGTATATAATTATTTCACAATAAACATTCATGTATAAAGCAAGTATTCATATCCACATTATACAAGAGAAAAAAATCTGAATTTAATAGAATCCAAAGAAGCAGATGAATTTTGATTCAAATTTAGATCTTCTCAATTTCCCTAACTCTAAATCCTGAGTGTCTTTCCATCCATGTACTACGATGCATATTGAACTTTATGAAATGTTCTTTCTTCATTTAATGTATAACCATCGACTCAGAGAATTAGGTCTAATTTTGAATGCAGTTATCTGTGACTATAAAAACAATGCCCATGGAAGGCATTCTAATGCTTTGAAACATACACCATTCACTGCAAATACTTTAAAGGAAACATTTTAATTTTGTGAATAAAAATGTTTAATAGCCCACACTCCAAACTAAAATTGATACCAAAATGTATCCAAAGGAATCATCTCACAAAAGGAAGGGGACTTAGAAGTAAAAATTTAAAAACTGACATTTAAAAACCATTGCTTTTTATCCTTTATTGAGTGTTTGCCATGTTGCAGACGTTATGCTAAGCAATTTACATGTGCAGGAAAATAGAACCTATTATTATCCCTATTTTACAGATATGAAAATTGAGAATTAGAGGAAATAATCAAAGCCAGGAGCCAAATACAACTTCTGTATGATTCCAGACACTGCATTTAACATTAAATTGCCTTTCCAATAAGTAGTTAATTATTTCATTTTGAGCCATTACTTAGTGAAAACTCGACAAGAGTATTTTTTCCTACTAATAGCATCTGATAATGAGACATTTCAATTATAACCAGATGGAGAAGGAAAGCACTATGTACATCATAAAGCTTAGCATTTCCAGGATATTAAATGAGCAAATTGTTTAGTCTTACCCATGAATTCAATCCCCAAGTGGTCTGCTACACCAAAGTCAGCATGGAAGGAAGGGGAAGAGAAAAAGAGAAAAAGGTTAGAAAAAGCTCTATACATGGAAATCAGTGCTCATAAGACTAACCCTCCAAGGCAAGGCACAGCCTCAATTTTAACCCCTATGTTTGCTTAGAAAAGATACATTACAGATCACCAACAGTAGAGTTACTCTGAACACTGATGAGTATTTCCCCCAAAGCCTCTGAGCTATAGCTTAGATTTTAGATGAACTAATATTGCATACATCATGAAGAATGCTAAGTATAAATTTAGCTAAGAAAGAAAAAGAAAAATTGTTATACCATGAACATCTGGCACTAATATTCTTTTCAGAATGCATAATATTTTATGTGGAATAACTATTTGTTCAACATGAATTTATTTGAACCTCTATAATAAAAATAAAAGTGAATAAGCAAGGAATTTCTGCATGCCAGGCCCTAATCAGGTGTACTTTACCTCCACAAAAAAAGCAATGATGTTGGACTTTTTTCTCTCTCTCTTTCACTTTTTAGATGAGAAAACTGTGCTTCAGTGAGATTAAAACTCTTACATAGGTTACAAAATCTGAGACACTTCCAGGGCACCAATTTGGTTGATCTGACCGTTAAGCCCCATGACTATTCGAATTGACAGCCCATCCTACCAAACACAAATATGTGTGTCCATGTCTGTTCTACGTGCATATAGAATGCAAACCATCCTGACCAGCTAACATCTGCCTGATCAGCAGAGCAATGAACTGTACTGGGCTGGACCCAAGTATTCAACCTCAGATGTTCCTCTATTTAAATGGTTCTTTTTTTAATCATTCAGTTATTCACTCATTCACTTTTAAAATTCATTGCATTAATTAACATTTTTTTCTGTTGCCATAATATTTGTCTGAAGTGAGAATAAGGGAAAAAACTATTGCTACCATTGTAATTGTTTCCAAGACTAATTGCTGAGCTTCCTTTTATGAATTCTTTATTTAGCAAATAAGCTTTTCCTTTTAGAAAACATGCATCTAGTTACCCAGATTTCAATGCCTTTTGTGTTTGTAAATAGGTCATTAAAAAATTTATTTGGAAAAAAATATATATATACATAGTATAAAATTTATCATTAAAACCATGCTTAAGTGCATGACTCAGTGTCATTAATTATTAAGTTGGTGCAAAAGTAATTGTGGTTTTTGCCATTACTTTTGTTAACTTGATACATTCACAACGTTGTACAACCACCACCCCTTTTTTCCAAATTCTTCCATCACCCCAATCAGAAACTCTGTGCCCCCTAATCCATAATTCCTCATTCATCCCTCCTCCCAGCCCTTGGTAACTTCTAATCTACTTTCTATCCTTATCAATTTGCCTTATGAACCGTTCACATTTAATTACATAAAGAAAGATGGTGACAATGTTTCTAAAAAGTAGATGCATTCATTTATTTCCCTGGCATTTCTTGACTGCTTACTCTGTGGTCATCATACACATGGTGATAGATATCAGGCACACTTTCATGTAAAGAAAGGATTCTTGTTCTCAGGTAGCTCAGAAATGAATGAGAGACCATGGAGAAAAAGCTATGGTCATTCTTTGTAATAAGTGCTATAATGGAAAAGCAGAAAATGTGCACTGGATGAAGAGGCCATGGACCCATAAACTTGCTCCTAGGAGGGAGAGAATGTGCAATACAAAGAATAAAGTTTGTACAACCCCATCAAAGAGTGGGCAAAGGATATAAATAGACTTCTCAAAAGAAGACATTTATGCCACCAAAAAACATATGAAAAAAAGCTCATCATCACTGGTCATTAGAGAAATGCAAATCAAAACCACAATGAGATACCATCTCACGCCAGTTAGGATGGCGATCATTAAAAGTCAAGAAACGACAGATGCTGGAGAGGACGTGGAGAAATAGGAACACTTTTACATTGTTGTTGGGAGTGTAATTAGTTCAACCATTGTAGAAGGCAGTGTGGCGATTCCTCAAGGATCTAGAACGAGAAATACCATTTGACCCAGCAATCCCATTACTGGGTATATACCCAAAGGATTATAAATCATTCTGCTATAAAGACACATGCAAATGTATGTTCATTTCATCACTATTTACAATAGCAAAGACTTGGAACCAACCCAAATATCCATCAATGATAGACTGGATAAAGAAAATGTGGCACATATACACCATAGAATACTATGCAGTCATAAAAAAGAATGAGATCATATCCTTTGCAGGGACATAGATGAAACTGGAAGCCATCATTCTCAGCAAACTAACACAGGAAGAGAAAACTGAACACCACATGTTCTCACTCATAAGTGGGAGTTGAACAATGAGAACACATGAACACAGGGAGGCGAACATCACACACTGGGGCCTGTTGGGGGGTAAGGGGCAAAGGGAGGGAGAGCATTAGGACAAATACGTAATGCATGTGGGGCTTAAAACCTACATGACAGGTTGATAGGTGCAGCAAACCACCATGGTACATGTATACCTATGTAACAAACCTGCATGTTCTGCACATGTATCCCAGAACTTAAAGTAAAATAAAATAAAATAAAAATAAAGAAGAATGGAGTTTGTAGAAAATTTGGCAAGACTATTGTCAGTAGCCTTGTTCAGGTCGTTGACTTCTCTGCACAAAAGGTTTTGAGAGCGAATCCCAAGTAAGTGTAGACAAAGAAGTTTATATCAAAGCGAAAGTATTGCAAAGTGAGGTGCAACAAACTTGTTTGTCTACTCTTACTTGGGATTAGCTCTCAAAATCTGAGAGGCAGAGTGGGCTGCTCAAAGACAGAGATAGCCCCTAGGGTCTTGAAGGGAATTTCCTTTACGGAAACTGTACAGACATATTCATAAAATACTGGTGAGGTCAAGTATGTAAAGGTGGATCTGTGGTTAGTACATACACTCAGGATCTACATGCTCTAACACATATCATATGTATCATTAGCATATAAAATCTCCATCTAAGGGGTGTTTTTTGATATTAAAATGAGAAAAATATTACTATAAGCTAAACCTTGAGTCTAGCTATGCCTGTGGGACACTGGAGGAGTCTCTGCCCCTCTCTCAGTGCCCAGCAGGCAGAAATTTGTAGCTAATAGTTTCTTGTGCTTTTGGTGCTGGGGAAGTTACATCAGGAATAACAGACTTTTGTTCTCTTCCCCAAGCCCATACTGAGTATCAGGAACTTGTAACCATCTAACAGTCTGTTGGTATTCGGTAGGACCGCTTATCTTGCAAAAGAGTTAGGTGTTGATGCCTGAGGGTGCAAGGGGAAAGAGCCAGCTATAAAAGTGGCCCACTGAGCTTTACACACAGGACAAGTAAGTATGGGTCCTAACCTTACTTATCCTGCCTCAAGACCATGTTTTCATTCTTATGCAAATAGGAAGCTTCCTGACTGTGGTACCTAGGACATTGGAGAGAGACTAGAGTTGTGACATTTAAAATAAGGATTACCTATCATTACACTAAAAATAATATTTGTGAACAGCTGGGAATAAAAACTAAACTTTTTCATATAGACAGAAGAGGAGGTTGCAGGAAGGAAACCAGGAGAGGCAAGTGTACAGAAATCAGGGAGCAGAGGATCTCAAACAGTGGACCACAGGTGTTCCATGACATGAGAGGGTAATTAGAAAGTCTTTAGATACAGCCTGTTTGAACAAGAACTTTCCGGTGCAGCTGAGATGGCTCAGAATTGGCTGCCTGTCATCTGTTTTGCTGGCAGGTGCAACTCAGGCATGGCTTTCTTCCTTCTTCCATGAACTTCAATGCTCTGCCTCCGGATGTGACAAGGGATATGGAGCATCGGGCTTTGTGAATCTGTAGATTGTGCTAAGAAATGAGTGGCATGTTTGATTAATGGAGGGCCAATCTGAATGTTTTGAAACCTCAATATGTTTATGACCAGTAGCAGAGACAGAAATCAAAATTTGGAAATTATTCAAACACTGAATAGGATAAGTAGGAATCTTCTTAAGGGAAAGAAAAACTGTCCTCTTTTAACATAACAGAAAAGTTATCCAATTATTAGAGTTTTTAACTTTCAGAAATACTCTCAAGGAAGATGGCATTTATATTTTTGTATTTTAATGGGAAATTATTTATTAATTTTTTATAATAGCTTATTCATGGCAACTGACACCACTGGACATACAAATAAAAAGTTAACTCTCATGTAAATTATTTTTCTCTTTCTTTCTCTCTCTCTCACTTTCTTTGTCATGAATACACACACACACACACAGACACACACACATACATGCTTCCATCGTTTTATTAAAATGTTAAACACCGTGATCATTACTGCAGGGTTTAAGACAGGATTTGGTTCATATGGAAGAATTAATGAAAATCCATGAAGAACAGATGACAAAAAAGCAATTAATTTTGTCATTTGAGTCATACACAGATCATAAATCGCACTATTTCTCATAACCCTTCACTGGCTATTTCTCAAAGCAAGCAGTATGCCCAGGGATATTCACGCCTGCAGGAAAACATCAAGCGATACAGGTGAAGATTAATTAATTAATAGTTCATTCATTCACTCAGCAAACTATGTGTCAAGTACTGCACAGATATTAGGGTGGAAGAAGAGGCACATAGTTTAAGCAAAAACAGTTTGATTTTATCTATGACATACATATGTTTGAACATATAACTTCCTTCCTTTTAACACTCCAAAATTTTTATTTGTAAAATTAGCATTTGTTTTGGAACACTCCCACCTTTGGATTATACAGTAGTGGGTAACATTTACTGAGCACTTACTGCGTACCAGGAACTGCTTTAAATATTATCTCACAGCAATTTATAAGATTGTTGTAATGTTCATTTTACTGGTAAGAAACGGAAGCACGGAGAGGGGAACTAACTTTCTCTAAACCAGATTGCCCATAAGTGCTGGGAACATGATGGAGCCTAGGCCGGCTTGGCTCTTAGCTACCAGTTATACTCAAAGTTTACTTACCCCCTTCCTATAAAGAAAAAGCTAATTTTTACAAAATTATCAAGTAATGAGATCTTCAGGGAGGAATTATTTAATCCACTTAAGAGAACAAGTTGCTTTCAAGTATCCTCAGGCAGAGTAGAAGCACCACTTATTTACTTTCTCACCCCTAGTTTATTGATGAAGTGCCAAATATAAGCTAGGTAGCGGGGCAGACAAAGGAAGACAACTGTTATCTGTCTCCGAGGAGACCAACTGGCAAATCATTAATATTTCTTCATTGGTTACCGGGGAAATTTCTTCACAACGAGGCTGGCCTAGTTGAAGTTATTTGCTTGCACATACAGCAAGCAAAATATAAATTGTTGAGTCTGAAAATATGCCCAACATTGAACCAAATGATCTTACAACTAGCAACATACTTAATAAATGCCAGCAGCTCTGCTGCAGAGCTGAAACATTCTTAAGATTTTAGGACTAGGTACCTGTCTAGCAAGACAAAATGAATGTTTTTTTTTAACACCAAAAATTCCTGGAAAACACTTGGAAATTTGAAGCCCACATTTTTTAATTAACAAAAATTCTATAAATTTATGCTGTAAAACCAGATATTTTGGAATACGTATACATTGTGGAATGGCTAAATCAGGTTAATTAACATACGCATTCACATACTTATCTTTATGCGGTGAGAACATTTAAAATGTATTCTGTTAGCAAATACATTGTTATTAACTATAGTTGCCGCATTGTACAATAGTTCCCTTGAACTTTTTCTTCTTATCTAACCACTAACCGAAGTTTAAGGCCTGGGTGTTTCTAACGCATTCACAATTCTCTATGACTGAACAATTCAAAACCTCTTGTTTATATGCTGACAAAAAGGGGCTGCTGACATTCCCCCGAGGTGGGCAGGCTGCAACAGAGCAAGCGAAAACATCGTTGCCTTGATTCCAATCTCAGGATGCCACCTTTAACTTGTCACCCAGCCTATGAACAGGAACTCACTGCAATGCAGCCCTGGGACAAAGCGACACAATGTGGGTTTAAGCATCAGCCCTGTGCTAAAAGTAACGGAGCGAGATGATTCTGATCATACAAGGGTCCCAAGTGTGATCATTTAAACCCTGGTCTATGGGATATGGAAAAGCATGTTCCAGGAAAATATTGATCTGTGTTTTAAAAAGTTAGACTACTGGCCGGGTGCGGTGGATCATACCTGTAATCCCAGCACTTTGGGAGGCCGAGGTAGGCGGATCACGAGGTCAGGAAATTGAGACCATCCTGGTTAACACGGTGAAACCCCGTCTCTACCAAAAGATACAAAAAATTAGCTGGGCGTGGTGGCGGGCGCCTGTAGTCCCAGCTACTCGGGAGGCTGAGGCAGGAGAATGGCATGAACCGGGGAGGCGGAGCTTGCAGTGAGCCGAGATCGTGTCACTGCACTCCAGCCTGGGCGACAGAGCGAGACTCCGTCTCAAAAAAAAAAAAAAAAAAAAAAGTTAGACTACTGCCTTGAAGTTAAATGGGCTTCTCTGCTGCAAGAATCCCCCAATTCCCTCCTAGGTATGTGGAGAGTCCATGGGCAGTAATTCAGTGACAGCGTTTCCAACTTGATGAAAACAGCTGCGTTGTCATGGAGCCCCCAGTGGGACTACCGATATAAGGTACCTGCTCTGGGAAATACTTGCCATAGGAATGTGGAGCAAACCACCCACTCAATTACAAAACATGTCAGTTATAAATGCTTTATCTTAATAACTGAACTGAAATCTGTCACTCTGTAGATTCCACCCACAGATCCCTGTCAAGTAACTTTTTCACTGGTGACACTCCAGGTAGAGGTAGTCCATTGCAACTGAGAAGAGCAAATAGGTTTTGTGAGGAAGGCAAGTTGAGTCTTCCACATTTGCTAACCATAACACCTGAGCTCATCATGCTCTAGTAGTTTCTAAAATCATTGTAAAGAAATATAATTGTCTCAGGTATCAACAGTGGGTCCGTGTGTTCTTGCTCCGAGATAAGAGTATGGACAAGATGCTGAGATGTCCTGTGTTGAGACTTTGCCCTGCATGTCCCAGTTTATTACAGCAAAACAGGCAAGCTAAGAAAGACTGGAGTAGACTTTAAGAGTTCTGATTAGGAGGGGAGAAGGGAATGGGGCTGGCTCTGGCTGTAGTTGCTGAGGGAAGCTGCAGGCTAGAAAACAAAACATGGGATCCACAGAATATATACATTTCAAAAAGTAAAAGGGTCAAAGGACAGCGGAATAGGGTTCAACAAAGGCTTCCAGAGCATAGTGCTGTGTCAACAAGGGACGTGACATTTGATGGTCACTAAGAGAATATGGCAGCAGGAAGGAGTGTGGCAGCCAGATCCAATCTCTTTGGCCTTAAATCCCACAGTGGGAAAGGAGCACAGGGAACTGTCAAGAGTGTGAGCACACTCCTGGTGAGCGAGGCAGAAAAGCTCCTTTCCAGGAGCTGTGTTCAATCCTAGAATGTCTGTCCTAAAAAGAAAGGGATATTATCACTTCATCCTTTTTCAAGCATTTTATCCTTAGTGCAAAATTTAGGATGTTAATTGCAGGGCTGATTCTAAACTTCATGCTCCCTTTATGAAATTACGCTAAGTCACTAAATACATAATTTTATTTTTGTGGGCATGTATATTTAATTTTAGATTTATACATCTTCACAAATAAAAAGTGGAATGTAAAAAATCATATTAATCAAAAGAAATTGATACTTCCCTCAATATCTCTTAGAAGTAATTCCTGCTAATTGTTTTATGTTCTTCCTAGTCTTCCTTCCATATATGTAAAATAAACTAAATGTCAGTTTTACACAAAATCATCCTGTTTTATGTGACTAAATCAGGAGTCTATCTGTGGCCACTGCAGTTCTGTAATCCCAATCTCCCACACCCAACCTCCATCACATCAGAACCGACAGCTTTTTCCACTGTGGAGAGTAGGTCACGACATTATTACCATGGTCAGCCTCACACCAGACAGGCCATCAGTCATGCAGGAGGGAAAACCACTTTTCTAGAAAGCACACAGCCCCAGTCTCCTTTCTCAGGGCTGTGTTACAGAGCATGATCTCTTTATTTTTCTTCCCCAAAACTCCACTGCTGATACCTGAATTTAATAATCTCTTATCATTCTCTAAACAAGAATGTTGATTTGTATCAAAGGATGGGGAGAAGCAGGCAGCCATGGAGACTGCACCCCCATATTGGTATACAGCAAACTCAAGATGAGCACTCTGCTAAGCAAAGTGAAATAGCATGACAAGGTTTCAACTGAGGTTAAGGAGAGATCATTTGCTTAGGCTGCTCCTCAGAGATGGATTTTGACTAAATAATGGGTAGAATTTTGCAGTGCAAACATCTTGGAGCATTAGACTGAAATCTTATTCCATTTTTGCAATTACCGATTAAAGGATTTAATAGGAATTACCATTATAGAGAAGAATTCTTCATTCAGAAAGAAAATACTTCTCTATTGTTTCTGTCACTAGTGATAGTAACTGTGTACAGGTGAATACACTAGAGTTCCTGCTCTTGAGATTCACATGTGTCTCCCAGGATCTTCTCATGTTTTATCAACTTTCTAAAATTCTTGCATTTTGTCACTGGGCACTTCTACACATATCCTTTTCTTTTCTTTTTTTTTTTTTTTTTGTTTTTTTTTTTTGAGACAGAGTCTTGCTCTGTCTCCCAGGCTGGAGTGCAATGGCACAATCTCGGCTCACTGCAGCCTCTGCCTCCCAGGTTTAAGTGATTCTCCTGTCTCAGCCCCCCAAGTAGCTGGGATTACAGGCACGGCCACCATGCCCAGCTAATTTTTGTATTTTTAGTAGAGACAGGGTTTTCCCATGTTGGCCAGGCTGGTCTCAAACTCCTGGCCTTAAGTGATCCGCCCACCTTGGCCTCCCAAAGTGCTGGGATTACAGGCGTGAGCTACTGTGCCCAGCCCACATATCCTTTTATCTAATTTTTAAAATTAGGCTGTAAAGTAGTGCAACTGAGCCCCATTTAACAATTAAAAAAAGAAGCTTCTGTGTAAAACTGAAGGTCATATTTGTAGATTCCTAGATTCCTAGGATGGGAAAAAATCTCAAATCCCAGGACTGAAGGGTAGTTGTTTCTTTTTCTCACTCTTTCATTGCTCCACCCTATCACAGAGTCTGACATTTTGTGGACACTCAATATGTATTTATTGCATGAGTAAAAATGCCATCTGGTTAAGCTCTCAACATGTGACATCTATATGTCTTTCAGAGCATACCCAGGCTGTTCTCTGTCACTTCTGAGTTATTGATGATTCCAAGCAACATGACACCTCTGGTGGCAACTCATTCAATATTGAAAAACGATATCCACAATTGTTTCCAGAAAACTCCCCCAAATCAAAGTACATTCCAATTCTACTCACTTGAATCTACAATTCTGGAATCTAGAAAACACTAGATTATTATCCAACAGGGTCCAACTCATGGCTGTCTTTGTTACGTAATTTTTGTATATAATTTAGGATTCACTTGAGTAAGTGGTCCACTATCAGAAAAAATATTAAATTTTCCATGGTCACTAAAATGCTATCATAGATGCTATTTAAGGGTTTTTCCCCTTAACAACATCAATTTAATCAATCTTTGTAATAGCTGCCACATGTTCTGGGTTTTTTTTTTATTCCTATCTTTTCAGCTTCAATCTACATTAGTATCAATGAAGGCACACAGCTGGACGTGGTGGCTCACACCTGCAATCCTAGCACTTTGGGAGGCTGAGGCAGGCGAATCACTTGAGCTCAGGAGTTTGAGACCTGCCTGGACAACATAACTAAACTCCATTTCTACAAAAAATACGAAAATCAGCCGGGCATGGTGGTGTGTGCTTATAGTCCCAGCTACCAGGAAGGCTGAGGTGGGAGGATGGCTTGAGCCTGGGAAGTCGAGGTTGCAGTGAGCCTAGATAGTGCCACTGCCCTCCAGCCTGGGCAACAGAGTGACACTGTCTCTTTAAAAAAAAGACACACAGACGAGTTTACGGTTAATAGATGGAAGGGTTAGAATAAAATAGGGGAAAGTCTACTCAAGAGAAAGAAATGAAAGAAAAGAAAGAAGGATTACATGGCAAACAGCCATGTGTTTATATATGTGTTTGCAGTTATCATACTAATGATTGAAGCCTTGGTTCATAAATTGTTTTAATACCATGCTTTTATTCACACTTCTGAATTTAAATTGCAATATCATCATGACGAATACCACTTCACAAAATGATGGACATATTTTAAGAAACACTGCTCTGAGCTGCACTCCACTAAAGAAACGCCAAAGACAACTCACCCCCACTTCCCGTCATGGATAACACCTTGTGACATGAAGATACTAGAAGAGGAACCCTCTCCTGCCCATCTGTCTAAGACAGAGGAACCAAACAGAAAGGCTACCCAAAGGATCAAGGTAGAGGATTGTAAGTCCTGGACCAACTGCCCAAGATATTCATCTAGAGCAGCCAAATACTGTAATGTAGTGGATATGGTAGAAAATCTCTTTACTGATGACTTAAGAAAAGAGAAGATCCATGGTGAGAATGTAGTGAAAAGAATTCATTCTAAGAAGGCAAGTTGAGACCCTAACCAGGAGGAGGTACTCTTAGGTTAGGACTCAGGAAATTAGGCAGCAACTGATACCATCAAGAAACTGTGTGAGGTAAGACAAGATGAACTCACATTTTTAAAAAATGATTTTGTTAACTACTCTTCAAGTCAGGCTCATATTTAGTGGCAAGGCACTGTAGCTTCGGAAGTCGGGCTTGTCCATCGTTAAAGCCTGGTTGGCTTTGTTTACTATATTTTGTTTTACACAATGGTGTCTGCTTATGTGAAAAAAAATCATTCTTCAAATGCAGAAGGTATCTGGCATTTTAAAGTTCTTTCATAGGAAATCACTGAAAGATTAAACAACAAAAAATAAAGAACACCCTTTCTCCCCTTTTCCCCAAAACTCCAAGCATTCTGTTCTGCTCACACTCCCCGAAATAGAACCCTGTACACAACACACATCATCTTTTTGTTCCTGCCATTCCATTAGCTTAAATATTTTTCCTGATGAACTCCCAAGTCTTCCTCTAACAAACTCTTCCCATCTTTCAAGGCCTAATTCCTCCAGAAGCTATCCCTGATTTCCTGAAATAATGTTACCTGCTCTACTTTTCTATGAATGATGATGGGATCTCCATTTAGCATGTAGAATTATTATGCCTTGGATTATAACTAGTAGCAATATATCTATATCATAATTAATTAGGTGAACTGTGATTTTCTTCCGCCTCTAGTGCCTTTCCAATAGCATATGGCAAGTGAATGCTTATTGAATCTTTTCACATAATCCCACCAATTTTCTTTCTCATTGTAGGTATACTTTTGGGAAGTATAAACCTCAACAAAACTGGCATAGAAGAGACATACCTCGAAGTCATAAAAGCCATCTATGGCAAACCTACAGCCAGCTTCATACTGAATGGGGAAAAGTTGAAAGCATTCCCCCTGAGAGCTGGAACAAGACAAGGATGCCCACTCTCACCACTTCTATTCAGTAAAATATGGGAAGTCCTAACCAGAGCAATCAGACAAGAGAAAGAAATAAAGGGCACCCACATTAGCAAAGAGGAAGTAAAACTGTTGTTTGCCAATAATATGATTGTATACCTAGAAAACCCTAAAAATGCATCCAAAAAATGCCTAGAACTGATAAATGAATCTAGCAAAGTTTCAGGATACAAAATTAATGTACACAAATCAGTAGCACTGCTCTACACCAACAGCAATCAAGCTGACAATCAAATAAAAAACTCAACCCCTTTTACAAGAGCCACAAAAAAATACAAATAAAAAAATACTTAGGAATATACCTAACCAAGGAGATGAAAGACCTCTACAAGGAAAACTACAAAACACTGCTGAAAGAAATCATAGATGACACAAACAAATGGAAACACATCCCATGCTCATGGATGGGTAGAATCAATATTGTGAAAATGACCATGCTGCCAAAAGCAATCTACAAATTCAATGCAATTCCCATCACAATATCACCATCATTCTTCACAGAACTAGAAAAAACAATCCTAAAATTCATATGAAACCAAAAAAGAGCCCACATAGCCAAAGCAAGACTAAGCAAAAACTTTATACTAATTTCTACTAATGCTTTCATTCAGGCCATCTTTGGCGCCATAATTTTCCAGATTTTCTGGGCATTTCCAAAAGATGTCCATTAAAATACACACATACACACACTCCATATTTGGAATTATATAATTTATTGCTCATTGAATTGCAAATCACCTACAGTGGGTTGGAGGAAGGTAAAATCCTGCCTTACCCTATTCTAACACCTCAGTCAAACCAGGCCATCATGCAAGTGACTACACCAATAAAAAGATTTTTTAAATGTCTTCTTTTAAAAAGAAAAAAATCAGGAAGGGTTGACTGCAATGGAGGAAACTATTGTCTAATAATTAGTTGGGAACTCAGTTGAATCCAGGTATTTTAAAGTCTTACCCTCATGCTCCCACTACCTTCTCCTCTAGTCTTGGTAACTTTCTATATGTATTTTCAAGATATTTGACTGGAAATAATTACTCCACTCGGCACCCCGTTAGTGTGATAACCTTTTCGATGTGGTCTGCAGATGTCAGAAGCTACGTATGGATGAATTTAGAAATTTCTAATTTTACATCACTTAGCCATTACCAAGGCAAACGAATAGAATCCACATCCTTCCTTGAAACTACCGTCTACGTATTATAGGTTTGGGAATCTGAATGACATCCTCCTCCCTCATCCTCATAGCATCCTTGCTAGTGATGGTATTTTATAGATGAGAAAACTGAGTTTCAGAGAGGTGAGCTAATTTTCTTTCTTTTTTTTTAATAGCTGTATTTTATTTTACTATTATTAGTTTTTAATTTTTACTGTAAGTTCTGGGATACATGTGCTGAATGTGCAAGCTTGTTACATAGGTTTACATGTGCCATGGCGGTTTGCTGCACCTGTCAACCTGCCATCTAGGTTTTAAGCCCCGTGTGCATTAGGTATTTGTCCTACTGTTCTCCCTCTCCTTTCCCCCTACGCCCCTGACAGGCCCCGGTGTGTGATGTTCCCCTTCCTGTGTCCATGTGTTCTCATTGTTCGACTCCCACTTACGAGTGCTAATTTTCTTAAGATACGAAGTATCTTACTTTGTTAAAGCACGCAGACTTCACCCACAGAAAACAGTCCACCTTGTTTAGTGTTCCCTGTCGATCAGTGTTGCTGCAGCCCTATCCTGCTTCTCCAGTGCTATCCCCACATTCCCTTTCCAATTCCAAAGTCCCGCCTTGCTCATATGCAGTCTGGTAAGCTTCATTTTTATCAACTCACTTCAAGTAAAACCAATGTTGGAATGCATATCTTTCCCTACAGAGGGTCACTACTACAAATGGTCTTTTGTGGAATGTTTTATATCTACATACTCTGAGTCTCATCACACTCCACTCTAATTATTATAGTCATTAGTTTGCTTGCCCATCTTCTCCAAGTGACAGTACGCAATTTAATTAAATGATTTGCTTAATTTTTCTTTATATCATAAATTTCAGGACAATTCCTGGCACAGATCAAGCATATGAACAAATTCAAAAAGAAAAAAACTATATAGCTTCATGGACTTTCGAACTTTTGTTCAAGGTGATCTCTCTTATTTGTAGTTCCTTCTCTCCTGTATGTCTTCTTCCATTGCCTTAGGGAAGGGAGATCTTGGCAATAAAAAGAGAGAGAGAAAAATATTTGAGGTTATCCAATCCTTAGCTCAGAAGAAATAAAGGTACAGAATAACAGATTTCATGGTATAGACAAAGGACCAGATGCCCTCTGCAGATTAATACACTAAAGATTTTCTAGGTGAAGGTAACAAATGGAAAAAAATCCAAAATGTCTGGGAGAAGACCTTCAGCAATAAATATGCATGCTGCTGCTGCTGAGCCATGCATTTCTTTCCCTGCCTCCTGCTCCAATGAGAAGAAAATAAGACAAGGATCGTCAATACCACAGAGAATCTGCCCAACCCCCAAGCTCCGTGTCCTCCAAGAGCACCAATGCTTAGGCCCTGTGTAAGTCATGCCTCTTCCCAAAGTTTGATGCAAATCCCAGGAAGCTGGAATTAGATAAACGAAATGTGTTTACACTTTTCTCTAAGCCAGTGAAATGTAACTTTAAATAGAAAATTAGGAAATTTAAATAATAAAAAATAATAATACAGCTTAAGTTTTTAAGGCTTAATCAAGGCAGTCACTCTATTTACTTTACATGACTTAACTCACTGAAAACCTACAGCAATATTATAAAGTCGGTTCTATTTTTATTCCCATTTTAGAGATGCAGCTGAAGCATGGGTTAACAAATTTCCTCAACTTGTAAAAAAAGTGCTGGGATTCAAACTCAGGTGATAGGTTTCAAGTATTTACCCTTTAAATTCAGTATGTCTATGGCCAGTTATCACACATCCACCCCACATTTTGTAGACTGAGATTTGTTCCTGCTGCAAAATTAAGAAGCTATTTAATTAACTTACTATATTTCAAAATTAGATACAATCTCACTGAACTCAAAGTCATGTTATCTTTACATTTTACTTTATTTTAAACTTCTGTGTTTTTAAATTTCTTTTTTTTTTTTGCTCTTAAAAAATTTGGAGTCTAAAATAAGGTAATTTGTATGGCAACTAAACAAAATATTTAAACAGCTAGATGCAAATAATTTTTCAACCAATTTTTGAGCTTTCATGCTGTTAAGCACTTCCTATTGGATCATTCTTGCTACCAGCATTTGATATTTTATTTGGTGTCAATTCAGTTTGAATTTTTGTTTTAAGTAATTTTTCTTTTTTCAGGTTGACAGATGGATGGTGAATCCAAGATGAGTTCAAAGCTGTAGGAGATTTAAATAAAACCTTTCCCCCGTTGTTCAAATTGAGCTTTCACTAGAGGAAACGAAATTCATTTGCTCATTGCAGGGACCAAAATGTGAGAGCAGCACGCTGGGGACCAGAAATGTCAATCAAAGACATGAGTGGGAGGAGTGAATCTTGTAATGGTTGATAACCTCATCGCTCTGGATGACTGCATGGCTACAGCAAGCCAAATTCTCTTCTGCACCAACTTCCTTCCAGTGCTAATATTCAATGTCCCCTCTAAGGTGCTTCTCCTAAGTGGAAACTCCTTGAAGCATCCTCTAGAAAACTTGTCTCCATTCCTCTGTCAAGCATTTCCTTGTATATGCAATGCTTTGTCTAACTGTTCACGTAGCCCCTTCTGTCTTCTACCAACCAACAAGCTGGTTCAAGCCAACCACTTCTCTCACCTGGATGGTTTTACTACAGAAGGCTTCTCCCTGATTTATCTGCTTCCACCTTTGCTCCCTACCTATGTTATCTTTCCACACAGCCCAGAGAGATCCCTTTAAAACTTAAATCAGATCACACTATCCCTTTGCTTTGAACATCCCTCCCATGGCATCTCTGGAATAGAAGCCAAAGTCACCATCAGAATCTAAAATGGACCTATACAATCTATGTGGTCTTCTCTGACCACACTCCTCCTACCTTTCCCCTCTCCCTTACTCCATCCAATTCAGCCACATTAACCTCTTAGCAGTTCTTCTAACCAAAATACATTCTTCTTCCTCAGAGCCATGGGCTGGCTGCTGCATCTGCCTATAATGCTCTTCTTTCAGACATTTACAAAGCTCAATCTCTCACCTTCTTTCACTCCTGATGGCATCTTATCAGAGGTCACATCATATAAAGCAGCACTTCCTATCCTCCTCACCCTACTTTTCTTTACTCCTAACAATTTACCACCATATAAAGAATAACCATGTCTCTCTGGTAATTTTCTATTTCCTTTTCTGCTCCACACTAGAATGTAAAGCTCTGTGAGGCAGGGGCTTCACTGTGTGTTAGTTATCTAGGGCTTCCATAACAAAGCACCAGAAAGTAGAGGGCTTAAAGAGAAGTAACGTATCCTCTCTCAGTTCTGGAAGGTGGAAGTCTGAAATCAAGGTGTCAGCAGTGTTTGTTCCATCTCAGGATTGTGAGGCAGAATCTGTCCTATGTCACTCTCCTAGCTTCTGATGGTTCACTGGCAATCTTTGCTGTTTCTTGGCTTGTAGAAGCATTGCCCCAATCTCTCCCTTCATCTTTACATGGTGTTCTCCCTATGTGCATGTCTGTGTCCAAATTTCCCCTTTTGATAAGGATATCAGTTATATTCGATTAGCGCCCATGCTAAAGACCCCATTGTAACTTGATTACCTGTTTAAAGACCTCCATCTCCAAATAAGGTAATTGGAGTTACTGGTATTAGGACTTGTATTAGCCCATTCTCATACTGCTAATAAAGATATAACTGAGACTGGGTAATTTATAAAGAAAAAGAGGTTTAATGGACTCACAGTTCCACATGGCTGGGAAGGCCTCACAATCATGGCAGAAGGCAAAGAAGGAACAAAGGCACATCTTACATGGCGGCAGGCAAGAGAACATGTGCAGGGGAACCACCCTTTATAAAACCCTCAGATCTCGTGAGACTTATTCACTATCATGAGAACAGCATGGGAAAACCCACCCCCGTGATTCAATTGTCTCCCACTGGGTCCCTCCCACCATGATATGTGGGGATTATGGGAACTACGGTTCAAGATGAAATTTGGGTGGGGAGACAGCCAAATCATATCATTCTGCCTACCACCCTTCCCAAATCTCATGTCCTCATAATTCATAACACAATCATGCCCTTCTGACAGTCTCCCAAAGTCTTTACTCATTTCAGCCTTAACTCAAAAGTCCACAGTCCAAAGTCCGATGTGAGACAAGGCAAGTACCTTCCACCTATGAGCCTGTAAAATCAAAGCAAGTTAGTTACTTCCTAGATACAATGTGGGTAAAGGCATTGGGTAAATACACCCATTCCAAATTGGAGAAATTGACCAAAATGAAGGGACTACAGGCCCCATGCAAGTCTGAAATCCAGCAGGGCAGTCAAATCATAAAGCTCCAAAATGATCTCATTTGAATCCATGTCCTCACATCTGGGTTACCTTGATGCAAGAGTTGGATTCCTATAGTCTTGGGCAGGACATAACATATACATCTTTAGAAGACAAAATTTAAGCCACAAGGACGTGTTTGTGTTGTTTTATTCATTGTATCTATGACATCCAACACAATGTCAGATATAAAGTAGGTGCTCAACAAATATTTTTTAGTGACTCAATGAAATTCATCATATTGAAGTGCAGCAAAGGCCAATTTATCCATTCATGCATTTCCAGCTCCCTGTGAGCTTTGTGTCAAACTCATGACTCTAATACAAACTACTCCTTTTACTGTCATGCTTTTTTCTCTGCATATATGTTTCTCTGATATCTCGCAATAAAATCAAATTTTAATTACTTATTTAAAGTTAGCAAATATTTACTCAATGCCTACTCTATAACATGCTCTGTGAACCTTGTGAGGATATTAGAATAAATAAAATTTTAAAATCTTGTCGAATTCTGTGAGCTTAAAATACAATTTCTTAATCCACATTTAGCCAGCATCTCAAGGTTTCTACTGATACAACCCTGGACTACGCACTGGGAATGCAAAAGTGTTGAAGACATGGTCGGTGCCCTAAATAAATTTTCAGTCTCAGGTGAGGAAATGTAGTCTCCACCATCAAAATACATCTGACTGAAGTATTCATGATATACACATTTTTCTGAAAATTACCATCTGAAAATATTTGGCTTGGTGGTACCTAAAGGAATGTGATATAGTGGGAAAAGATATTCGCATTTAATTATATGGGCTTTCATACCAGACTGTACCTTTCAGTAACCATGTTTGACCTTAGATAAGTTACTTAACATTTCTATGTTTCAGTTCCTCATCTATTGAAGAAATGAAATGCATGTAATTTGTAAAACAATTAAATTAGATAATATATCTAATTTGGTAGACATTGCTATTTGCCTACTTGATATCTACTCGCCACTGTACCACATCTATTCAAAGTGTCAACGTAGCCAACTAAAATCCTGAATTTTGCAGCCTTCTTTGTACCATGTAGGGTGGTCATGTGACACAGTGCTGTTTTATAAGACTGGAGCAGATAATTTCCAAATGGGGCTTTCAGAAAAGCTCTTTCTAAAGACAGATTTAATTGCCACATGCCATTTGCTGGGTGCCCTCTTTCTTCAGCCTGGAGGCTGGACAGAGCAGCCTTCCTGCAATTCGAAGGCAGCTGCATGAGTTTGGAAAACCACATGCTACGATGGTAGATGAGAAGAACTTAAGGAACTGGATCTCTGATGAGTCTGCAGTGCTGTAACAGCCCCAGACTCCTACACCTCTGTACTTCCCACAACTTCAGAAAAACAAAACCCACAATTTACTCAAACCATGGTTTAATTGAGTTTTCTGGCTCTTGCAGCTGAACATTATCTTAATTGATAAAAGCACAAGCACAATCTCGCTCATAGTAGGTGCGTATTTTGTATATTCTATGTGGTTCTGTTTGCACCACAACTCCAAAACCAAACTACTGCAGAATTTATGTAATGAGAACTTCAGATTTATATCGTTTATAAGTGGATATCCTTTTCTTAGAAATGAAGTATTTAGAAGTTATTATACCCCATTATATGCAATGCTTACAATTATGTATTTGTTTTATTATCTTCATATTGTACACACACACCGTCTTGACATTACTCTCAAAATCTTCCATTTGTGCTGATTGTTCTGCTTTTTCAAGCAGAGAATCTTCTACCTTTGAATTTTTGGCAGTCCTTCATAAATGAACATTAAACAGCTTTCTTCTTTGAATTCTATTTGATACTGAAAAATAATAATCATTCAGGGATCCCTTAAAGTAAGCTCTATTTGTTTCATAAAAATGCATTTTTTTAAAATGTATTTTAATAAATCTGTGGAGAGCATAATCATCATCTGCTATTATAATTCCCCAAATTTCAGAATGCTGAAATTAAATATCCTCTAAGCATTGCAGGTTGTCTTATCTTCTCTTCCAGGGAGGCTTCAAGTCTCTTTTCTTCTGAATCTTGTGCCAAGCTTGTTTGCTATCTCTTTTTCTCTCGTAGCCAAAATCCACTGGTTAGAAAAAAGCCTCGTGAGTGTTCTGCTTGATACAGAGTATTCATTCAGAGTATAGTGGTATCTGCTGCATAGCTAAAAACATGATTTTCAGTTCTCTAAGTTGTCCTGAGTCTATAATCCCACCCATGAAACAGGATGAAAATACTAGGAGGACATTCATCTCTCCGGGGGTAATGTTGAAGTATAGTTCAACCAGACAGTGTTTCTCAACTATAGACTGTTGACAATCTGTATCAGAATCAGCTACAGTGCATGATAAAAATGCAAATTCTATGAGCTGTATGTTTAATAAATTCCCAGGGTTAATCTTATGCACTTTAAGTTTGAGGTCTACTCACTTCTCAGTGTGCTATATGTGTGTATGTATTTATGGTAGCTTTAAGTTTAGGTTGCATTAATATTCCTTCTTAGTACTTTTTGTGATTCGATTTCACAGAAATATTCAAGGTAGATAAAATATCCACTGTGTTGTATCTTTTCATTTTATTCATTTTTTCCTTTTGTTAAAATATTTATACTCTTCCATATCTACTTTTCTCCCTCATATATTGCAAAGGTTTGAGACAAATGTTGCATTGACTTATTTTCTGTTTGTTTTTTTTCCTTTTTATTTTCTATTTCCAGTTTATCCATTTCCCACAACTTCTGTCTTTCTCCTATAAAGATTTTTAACATCTACACCCTTTTTTTTTTGCCTGCCCAGGCATGTTTTTAATCCCCTTGTGCCTTACACGTATAAGCACACATTGGCGTTTTCCTTCCAGTATCACAACTTATTTTGTAGATCACCAATTCCTCATTTTCAATAATGACATAAGTGTAAAAAAGGAAATCATCTGGCCTCTTCAGGAAGGGCTTATTGAGTAGGGATAACATCAGTGGTTATGACAGTAAGAGCAATGATGCAGCTTCGTCAACTTTATTCCCAGGTATGAAAGGAAAAAAGATAGTTAATGTGTATTGATCATTCAGTAAGCCAAGTCCTGTATGAGGCACCACTACTGGCATGTATAGAAGTCAAAACAAGCATGTAATACTTGAAGCCCTTTATTTTTTATTTTCTATTTGTTTTTGAGATGCAGTCTCGCTTTATCGCCCAGGCTGGAGTGCAGTGGTGTGATCTCAGCTCACTGCAACCTCTGCGTCCCGGGTTCAAGAGTTCCTCCTGCCTCAGCCTCCCAGGTAGCTGGGATTACAGGTGCACAACACCATGCCTGGAAAACTTTTGTATTTTTAGTAGAAACGGGGTTTCACCATGTTGACCAGGCTGGTCTCAAGCTCCTGACCTCAAGTGATCCGCCGGCCTCAGCCTCCCAAAGTGTTGGGATTACAGGCGTGAGCAACCACTCCTGGCCTGTGAAGCCCTTTAAATTTCCAACCTATTTTTTTGAAATTTGAGAAATAGAAGCAAAGACTTTTTTTTTAATACTCATTTAATTAATCCTTTGTTGTTCCTTTGAGGAAAGCATTATTTTATTTTGCAAACACTGTCTTCATCAGTCTTTTAGTTATTCTAACACAAATACAGCTTCTTATTTGGAAAAAAAAAAAAAAAAGATTGTAGAGGCGTTTTGGATCCTAGGAGATTAACTATTTTGTACTATCCTGTAAAATGTTGTTAAGTTGTAGACAGACTTGCATCCCGAGAGATTGTTTCTCCATTTTTATATAAGAATGTTGAATCTCAATAAGGGTAAGTAAATTGTCCAAGATCATATAACTAGTAAGTAATATCTCAAACTTGAACTCCAGTTTGGGATTCAAGATACATACTGCAACTATCAGAGATTTTAAATTGCATCAGTGATAACAAGGGCAGGACTCAAAACCAGTTTTGGCATCCGGGGTTAGCCCTTTCCCCAGCACTGCACTCTGACTCCCAACATCTTCTGTATATTTGGATTAATAGAGAGTGCAGCAGTATTGTATCAATAAGGACTAAATACAGAGTCCATCATTGTGCATAATGGGATTTAATTAGAAAGAGACACTTAAGGAAATGTTTTTGAAACAAATAAACGAGGCCCATAAAAGGAGTCACTCACCAGAACATATTAGCTAGCTAGCTTTCTTTTATAATTTCTGCCATTGTCTGTGATTTATTTTTCTTTGCTAATATGCAGGAATTTCATTTAAATTCCCAGCTATTTATGGCATTCATAGTCTTAGTTAATTTATTTGTGTTCTTATATATATTTATATATAGATCTATTTAACTATGACAAATGATATGTTGGAGGTTTCAATTATAATTATGTTTGCAACAAACTCTTATAAATCTAATATGTTTTGCCATATATACTTAGTTGCTATGTAGATAGGTTTATATTGGTTAACGGCTGGATATCATCTTGATAAATTGTGCTTTTATCATTACTTAATGTCTCATTTTATCCTGATTCATCCCATTAACCTTCCCTTGCATCTCGCTGCTCATTAATATTGCTACTTTTTAACTTTATGTTTTCCAATTTTTTTAAATGCATTTGATTAGTATCCCTTCTCCCTTCCCTTCATTTTCCATCTTATCATTGAAGGGTGTTTCTTTTAAACAGTAGATAGCTGTGCTTTGCTGTGCTCACCTAACATCTGTCTTTAGATGAGAGAATTCAGTTGTTTGTATTTATTTTAATAACTAATATGCTTAAGCTTATTCCTTCAGAATTCCTTGTATTTATTATTGATTTTATGTTGGCATTTTCCTTTTTCATTACTGTATTAGTCTGTTTTGTACTGCTAAAACAGCATACCGCAGACTGTGTAATTTACGATGAATAGAAATATATTGGCTCTCATTTCTGGAGACTGGAAAGTCTAGGATTGGGGGCTGGCCAATATCTGATAAGGGCCTTCCTGCTCATCAGTCCATGATGGAAGGAAGGGCAGAGAGGATCAGAGAGAGCAAAGGGAGCTAAATTGTCCTTTGAGAATGACACCCGTCCCACCCATAAGGTGGGTGTAACCCTCATGACATAATTCCTCTTAAATGTCCCACTTCGTAATACTGTTATAATGACAAATTTCCACATGAGTTGTGGAGGGGACAAACATTCAAATCATAGCAATTACTAATGCAATAAGCATGTTTCAGAGTCTAATACAGTAGTCCCCCATCTTCTCCACAAATATACCTTCTGTGACTTCAGTTATCTATAGTCAATTATGGTCCAAAAATATTATAGTATTTTGAGAGAGATAGATCATCTTCACATAGTGTCTAGTACAGTATATTGTTATAATTATTCTATCTTATCATAAGTTATTGTTGTTAATCTCTTACTGTGCCTAATTTATAAATTAACTTTATCATAGGTGTGCATGTATAAAAGAAAATATAGTTTTAGCCAGGTGTGGTGGCTTGCGCCTGTAGTCCCAGCTACGCCACAGGCTGAGGCAGGAGGATCACTTGAGGCCAGAAGTTTGAGGCAGCAGCGACATATAATACCACCACTACAACTCTGGTATGGGTGACAGATTGAGATGCTGTATCTAAGAAAATAATTAAAAAATAAAAACATGGGATTCAGTAATATCCATGGTTTCAGGCGTTCTCTGTGGCCTTGGAACATGTCCCTCATGAATTAGCAGGAACTACTGTATGAGCTATTCTAGATGCTTGGATTATAACATTGAACAAAGCAGAAAAGCCCTACACAGCAAAGACAGGGTTATGATGTATCTATCAAAACATTTCATTTCCCTCTCAGGCACACAGGAAGACTATATTTACCAGATGCCCTTGCAGGTAAGCAGAGCCAAGTTTCTGAGTTCTGACCAATGTAAGAAAAAAGATATATTCTAGTTCCTGGGCTAGATGATGCAGCTTCATCAACTTTATTCCCAGATATGAAAGGAAAAAAGAGAGTTAATGTGTATTGATCATTCGGTAAGCCAAGTTCTGTATGAGGCATCACTACTGGCATGTATACAAGTCAAAACAAGCATATAACACTTGAAGCCCTTTATTTTTTAATTGTTAGACTCAGTCTCGCTTTGTTGCCCAGGCTGGAGTGCAGTGGTGTGATCTCAGCCCACTGCAACATCTGTGTCCCAGGTTCAAGTGTTCCTCCTGCCTCAACCTCCCAAGTAGCTGGGATTACAGGCGCACACCACCACGCCTGGAAAATTTTTGTATTTTTAGTAGAAATGGGGTTTCGCCATGTTGACCAGGCTGGTCTCAAACTCCTGACCTCAAGTGATTTTTAAAATTATCCTGCAGCCCTAGAGGGATGAGCTGCGAGATGGGTTCTGTATTTCTAAATTCATTCCCAATTTTTTCTGTGGCTATATGGAGGCCAGAATTCCTCTCCATCCACACCAATAGACACAATATTTGGCCATGATGAGAGAAAGAAATAAACTTTTGTTGGGTCAAGTAGCAAAAATGTTGATTTACTTTTTCATATGTGATGCTTACCTTTATATGTCAACTTCACTAGGCTATAGTACCCAGTTATTTAACCAAACACTAATTCAGATGTTGCTGTGACAGAATTTTGGAGATATGGTTAACATCTACAATTGGTTGACTTTAAGTAAGAGAAGTTCACCCTCAATAGTTTGTGAGGGCCTCATCCTACAATTAGCTAAAGGCCTGAAGAGCAAAACTGAAGTTTTTCTGGAAAAAGAAATTCTGCCTCAAGGATACAGTACCAACTCCTGCCTGAATTTCCAGTCAGCTGGCCTGCCCTACAGATCTCAGACTAAATAGACCCCATAATCATGTAAGCCAACTCCCTAAAATAAATCTCTTCATATAGGATATGATTATATAATGTGATTATAGTATAATGTAGATCAGTATACTAATTAATCATCACTATTCATATTTCTTCTGTTTCTCTAGAGAACGCTGATACGCATTTTGGTACAAGGAGTGGGGTATTAATTTCCCAGGGCAGGTGTAATGAATTACTATAAACCAAATGGCTTAAAACAACAGAATTTCATTCTTTGACAATTCTAGAGGCTAGAAGTCCTAAATCAAGGGGTTAGCAGGGCCATACTCCTTCCAATGGCTGTAGGAAAGAATCCTTCCTTGCCTCTTCCAGTTTCTGGCTATTGGCAGCAATCCTTTGTGTTCCTGGGCTTTTGGCAGCATAACTCCAGTCCATGCCTCAGTCATCCCATGAACTTCTTCTCTGTGTGTCCTCCATCTTCAAGTTTCTCTCTCTTTATGAAGATATCAGGCATTGGATTCAGGGCCCAATTAATCCTGTATGATCCCACCTTAACTTGGTTACATCTGCAGACTATTTTCAAGTAATATTACATTACGATACAGGTACTAGGGCTTAAGACTTTAGTATGTCTTTTTAGGGGATACAGGATTCAACCCACAACATCACAGCAATTAGAATACTCTGATTAATACAGAAAAAAAAAGACACGAGGCAGAAGTGATAAACTCTAATTCCAGGCTTTCTCTTGAATACAGTACTTTTAAGTAATTTTCAACCCTCTCCATTTTAAGCTGACTGGAGGTAGAGAATCCAACAGAGGGTGCTCTGTTCCCTATGTGGAACAGAGTGCCTGCGATGACACAAGAGAAAAATAAACCCTTGTTCTTTTAATGCACTGAGATTTGAGGTTTGCTTTCTTATAGCAGTTACGATATTCTCTTTAATAACTTTGACTTTGTCAACTTATCCATCCTAATTGGGCAAAATAGAATGTAAGATAAATAAGCAAATTATGTGCCATGACTTATTAAATCTAAAATACAGTACATTGCAAGCCTCCAATTGAATTATGATGTCATTGATTATCAGAATCCACCTTTCAGAGATGTAAAAGTACACTTTAAAAAAAAATGTGTATGTTGAACATGCACGCTATAATGTGATAAGTGCTATGGGAAACAAAGTAGGAGAAAAAGGATCAAGATGGTCTAGGTGGGGTGGAGGGTGAGATTATGCTATTAATAGTCCACCAACGTAGGCTGCGGAGAAGACAGGAACATGAGCACTACCTGATGGGAGTGAAGGAGTTAACTACGCGGATATCTGAGGGAAAACCATGTCTTTGTCCTACCTTTGTCAGTTTCCTACAGTTGCTATTTTTGGCCCAGAAAAATTTATCAAACACTTTTTGTGCACAAATGCTACACTTAAGTAAGTAAACTTGTTTTTTATACAGATATAGGTTGAAAATTGTGGGATTCTTTATGTGCATATTAGGACTGAACAAATAAGTATATATGTTATAGATAATGAAAGCCATACTTTTAACTGTTGAAGAAGGAAGGTAGCATAAGGAAAGAGGGAAGGCTAGAATGAATACTGTAACACTGAATTGGAATTGGAGATATCTGTACATTCTTGGGATATTTAATACCTATAGATAGATATAAATCAGCAGAGTGATTGTTTAGAAAGATATTCACTTAATTTTTAATATAATTAGTACTGAGTTGTAGACTTTGGAGTAACATTTATTTTGGTCTTTTATCATTTATAAGTATACGTTTCCATATAAATATATATTCATGTATTTTTATTTTGTGTACATACATCGTTACATTTTAAAATAATCACATATTTTATAAAAACAATGAAGCCACTTAAATTTTAAAATTATAACTAAAAATAGAAATACTATTTAGAAGAGAGTTTTGGAAAATGAAAGCAATAATATTACTCAATAATATCTATATTTTTATACATATACATAGTAGATTAAAAAATATAAAAGAAAATAAATACTTATTACTTATCCCTTGGTGATGGTATTGTAGAGTCTTTTCACACTTCTCTTAATTTTTAAAATTTTATGAAATGAACATATATTGAGATTATAAATAAAAAATGCTATTAGAAACCTTTACTCTGCATTTATCTTCTCACTTAATTGTAGTAGAAGTTCAACATAATGACATCAAACTTCTAAGATTTGATAAGTATCAGTTTGTTAAAAAATGTTTTCCTGACCCAAAAAGCACTTGTTACTAGCTGAATATTAGAGTATCCTATAACCATTTTAAGAAAATGGTAATTTTTTAGATGCATATCATAGATTTGACAAATTATAACTCAGATTTCAAATATTTGTTAATACAAATCCTACTACAACTTTCAGTTTGGATGATGATTATATAGTTTGGCTGTGTCCCCACCCAAATCTCATCTTGAATTGTAGCTCGCATAAATCTCACGTGTTGTGGGAGAGATCCAGTGGGATATAATGGGAGCGGTTTTCCCCATACTGTTCTCGTGGTAGTGAATAAGTCTCACAAGATCTGATCTGATGGTTTTATAAGAGGAAACCCTTTTCGCTTGGTTTTCATCCTCTCATCTGCCACCATGTAAGACAAGCCTTCCGCCATGATTGTGAGGCCTCCCCAGCCATGTGGAACTGTGAGTCCATTAAACCTTCTTCTTAATAAATTACCCAGTCTCGGGTATGTCTTTATCAGCAGCATGAAAATGGACAAATACAGATGAGTTCAGCTATAAAGCAGAGTATGTAGAACATAAAAGAAATATATATGTGTGTGTGTATATGTATATAATTAAAACAGAACTAAGATACACCTGACACCTGGTCTTAATGAAGTCATATTCATAAATATTTTATTTATAAACTTCAATTATTTCTTTAAAAAAATTCATATAAAGAACAAATTCACAATCAGCTATGTAGCAAGAAGTTATACATTTTACACCACAACTCAATTTTCCATGTTGCACTAACTTCTCTAAATCTTTGTTGAGCATGAGACTGTCATCATAAAATAAAAAGAATATTCCTTACTTTTATTTCAAATTAAACTTCTCTATGTGAAAGAGATGGGCATCTATTGTCACCATAAAATGAGAGGTTTAAAAATGTTATTTTCAAATGTCATCATGAATGGTACAAAATCTCTTCTTTTCGTCTCTGCAGAGGTTCCCTTAATTTAACATACACAGACATTTCTGTATATATTGATAATATTTTCTAGACTCTGCCCATTACTGAACCTCTACTGACACCCTTCAGAGTTGACTTATAATCTGTTCATCCTTCTCTCTGACTGCTTCCCTCTGTATGTATCAGCAAGAACACGTGCATTTACTAATGTCTGTTTCTAAAAACTTGCTTTAATTTCTTTTCTTTAAAAGACCAAAGTTACTCCTCCAAAGAGGATTTTAAGCTTAGTGCTAAATAAATTGGCAGCAAATGATGGTGTGTGCAGACACTCCAACTCTTTCAAATTAAGCATCACTCCTGCTCCTCCTGGATGATAACATTCTATTGAGCCTATCAGTGGTTTTGTTTTTTGAAATAAGCCAATTTCCACATACTCTGAGAATGCGTACATGCAGGTACTACTGTTTGTTGATGATCCTATAAGTGCCTTATCCTATGACTCCCTAGGAGCTGTGTTTTCTTTGACACAATAGTGACCCTTTTCCTTTGAAAGCTCCTGCACCTCATGACAAGCATTTTTTCAGCAGCATTTTAACCATGATGAGCCTTTCATTCCAAAACTCCTGTTCTTTTTCTCAACAGCATTAATCTAACGGGCATTTGCATTGTTGTAAACACAAGACACACTGCAAAGATTGTCTAGTTTACCAGTGTCCCTCTGCACCAGCTGGTTAGTCTGGGTTGTATCCACACTGCTTTTGCACACATTTCATTCTTTGTCCTTCAAAATCATGATTCGCGTCCAAATATTTATCAGGTAGTGATCGTTAACTTCCCTTTATTTTTTCGTCTTCTTTATTTTTCCTTCTTTAATAATTATATGCCATTTCTTATCAGTAGTTTTGAAACTCTCACTTCTTTTGTACTCACTGAATATAATACAGTTAAACATCAGTTTAAAAAGGAATCCTCAAAACTTAGCACAAATAAGCCAATGGGTAAGAGGCTAAGAAAATAACAATGGGACTGTAAACTAGTTCAACCATTGTGGAATTCAGTGTGGTGATTCCTCAGGGATCTAGAACTAGAAATACCATTTGACTCAGCAGTACCATTACTGGGTATAAACCCAAAGGATTATAAATCATGCTGCTATAAAGACACATGCACACGTATGTTTATTGAGGCACTATTCACAATAGCAAAGACTTGGAACCAAGCCAAATGTCCAACAACGATAGACTGGATTAAGAAAATGTGGCACATGTACACCATGGAATACTATGCAGCCATAAAAAATGATGAGTTCATGTCCTTCATAGGGCCATGGATGAAGCTGGAAACCATCATTCTCAGCAAACTATCGCAAGGACAAAAAACCAAACACCACATGTTCTCACTCATAGGTGGGAATTGAACAATGAGAACACATGGACACAGGAAGGGGAACATCATACACTGGGACCTGTTGTAGGGTGCGGGGAGTGGGGAGGGATAACATTAGGAGATATACCTAATGTTAAATGATGAGTTAATGGGTGCTGCACACCAACATGGCACATGTGGCACATGTATACATATGTAACTAACCTGCACGTTGTGTACATGTACCCTAAAACTTAAAGTATAATAAAAAAAATTAGAAAAAATAAAAATAAAAAAATAAAATAAAATAAAAAAAGAAAATGGCACAGTATTTGCATATAACCTACACATATCCTCTCATATATTTAAAAATCATTTCTAGATCACTTACAATACCTAATAAAATGTCAATGCTATAGAAATAATTAAAAAAAAGAAAATAACAATGGTCAACGCTAAAGGTATTGTGTTCAGTTATTGAAGTTTTTTCTGCCAAGTGTTATCACAAAGGACAGCCGAGTTGAAAATTTATACATGGGGGGCATCTGCCTGTGCATTTGTAAGCGTATACATCCACTGCTGCTTCTTGCTCTGTGTATGTTTATACTCAATAATATCTTGTCCTTGAACTTCTAGAATACCTTTCCCATGAAGACATCTGTAAACTATCAGTTGCTATTCTTTCCTTATGTCCTGCAGATTGTTAACTCTCAATACATCTCTGTAAACCAATGATCATCAATTTTTTTTTATAAAAGGCCAGATAGTAAATATTTTAGGCTATGGGGGCCAGAAGGTTGCTATTGCAACTGTTCAACTCTGTTGTAGCTCTAAAGCCACCATAGACAATAGGTAAATAACTGAGTATGGCCATATTCTAATACAACTTTTTATTTACAGACACTGACATTTGAATTTCACATGATTTTCACATGTCACAAAATATTATTATTCTGATTTTTTAAAAATGTGAAGACCATTCTTAGCTTGTCAGCCATACAACAGAGTTGGTGGACCAGATTTGGCCTGAAGGTGGTAGTTTGCTAACCCTCGCTCTAAACAGTCCTTTCTCTTGGAATCACTTAATCCAAAGGTCAACAACTCCCTTTCTCATATCAGAGAGATCACTCTGAGTGTACAGGACTGAATTGAACTTAAGCGAGGCATTCTTTCTTCTTCAGTACCTATTCTACAGTCCCCAATAATGGTTCAGAGATCTGAACAAAGCAAATCTTTGAAAAACTTACAAAGGGATTCTAAGGAGTGTCTGTCCTGCACTCCTTTCATCTGGCTGTCCTGCAAAGCTGATGATAGGCTGATGACAATAAGATCAACTTCATAAAAGCTCAGAACAGGAACAAGATGGAGGGTCATGAAATCTAGTCAGCCTCTGCCAACCATTGGCTTTGTAAAAGAAGAAAATGAGGGATTGAGACTGTAAGATCATTGTAGATCTGTGATGCTGGACAAATTGCTTAATCACTGAGAGCCAAGACTAACCCAGGGTTTCTGATTCTGGGTCATCTCTTTCTCTTTGTTCATCTCCCCATTCTGTTTCCTTTGATAATAGTTGATGGTTAGTATTCTATACTAATGTAAATCTTGCATTTTTAATACGGAAGTTTGAAAGAAATGGAAAGGGAATATACCAAATGTGAATATGGTGAATCTCATCGTGGAGTGTGCTGATTCTGTTCAGACACAACCCAGTTATATGAAATTTCCTGTCTCCAGCTGCCCTGGAGTGTGGCCATTATAAAAGCATGCAGGACATCAAAGCACAGGGGATTGAGAGGTGTTTGCTGAACATTTTCACACAACCTTTTATCAGGACCATACTTTGCTCTGATATAAGAGCCTGTATAAAATGTCATTTCCAACTGTGACTGCCAAAGGCAGCTCTCAGGAAACCAGATGAAAATGGCATGATGATGAAAGAATGTAAGTTTCAGGTCAAGATAGCTTCTTGAGAAAAGGTGCCAGCCTCGTTTTCCTGCTACAAATCCTTCTTAATGACATAACAGATAGAAATTTTTTAAAAAATTCCTTAACACATCTGGAAATGAAGGAGGACCAGATTGAAAATGGAGATTACAGCTTCAGACAACCAGAGGAGAATCTTACCTCATAATGTGAGGAGTGGCTCTAAGTGTTTCCTACCTAAGCAGCTTGCTGCAAGTGAGGCCCAGGGAAAAATGACCAGGCCAATCACAGGAATATCACAGTAGGGTCAGCAAGGAGGAATTAGCATGTCCCAACCAACTCACCCTAAGTGGATATTGGTAATTAGCAACTAGTGAGTTTCTTTTCAGGTAGGAGGAGTGAGAGTGGACCTCTGAGAGGGACACAGCAGCACCTTGAGTGGTTGATGGTATTAAGGAATAAAGACCATCCAGGACAGAAAGATTAGGCCATTCATGATATTTCCTTTACTCTCATAACTTTTCCTTTTTATTAAGTTCAGTGACCCTGTTTTATGCTATGGCTTTCCTCAAATGCCAAATGATTGTTGGCCGTCTTTATTTGCAATTCGCTGTTACTCTACTGTGACATTCACTGAGGGTTGTTAATATGGGGCAGGAAGCAACTGTCTTCATGGAAGTACCCCTAGGGAGCAAGGCTGAAAACTAAAAAGGTCAAGGATAAATGAAGAGGACTCGGTATTAGTCTCAGGAGTGAACGGCTTAGAAATTTCAGTTCTTCCTGCCACATGCCTAAATTGCTAAGTGTTCCAGGGCAGGGTTAAGGATAGATTAAAAAATCAGTGGGCTCAGTTTCCTGGCTAATACAGTTTTTAGGAAGAGCCAAGAGCTGAGACGAGCAAAGAAGGCACAGCCTGAAATCAAAAATTCCTCATTAATATAGCAAAGCTTTCACTATCTATGAGAGCAAATATAGAATGCTGCAATAATAATTGATGATCTGGGCCTGATATACCCAGGATGGGAAAACCACCATTTTGTACTGGCTGATCTCTGCTTTTTGGAAAAGAAAAAATAAAAAAGAGTGCAGTATATCAAACAAAGGAACAGGCAAAGTAATTGGCTTTATTATTTTCCACAACCTCACTTCACCTCCATTCTCCCATGTGAAGTGGATTAAGAGACAGGAATATTAAATTGGCCATATTCCTTTCTTTTTTCAGTTCTTAAACTTCAAAAATGCACTCAAATTTCAGCTGCTCACTCTTTCCAGATAATTTAATTTGGGGAAACTGGAACAGCCAAAAGTTTAAACATGGAAGATTCTGAAAAAAACTTCAAATGTGTGTGTCATGGCACGTAGTGCTTCAAGAATTGTGAAGGTGTTGTGCCCAGGCAGGGCAGGGTTAACCACAGTGGTAAATCCTTAGGCTAGGAGACCTTGGTCTTGGACCTAGATTGGCCTACTATGCTGGGATCGGTATTGGAAGGTCGGCTGCAGATGCTGGTATGCAGAAGGGCAGGGAACATGGATTCCATCAAGTAGAATGCTATTAGGCAACTGGTGGGAGGCCAGGAAAGCAGTTGGACTCATGAAAGTCCAAACAGGTGGGCAGATGGAATACAGCTAGATAGCTGCAATATTTAGAGACTCAGGCAGGCAAAGTCAGTGGCATCTGTCAGTGGGAAACAGTACCGCACTCGGGAACTGAGTCTGGGTCAGGATTGAGACTCCCTATCTTCCTAGAGAGCAGAATAGCACCTCAAATCTAAAATGACTGAGTAGAATGCTCTTAAGATCTGTTGAAGTTCTGTATTAAAAACAGAGAGAGTGACAACATCTGACAATTAACAGATGACATGAATGGGGTGAAATGCCTAGCAACAGTCCATATATTTTTAGGCATTAGATGCATTTTTATTTTCTTCCTTATTCCCTTATCTCAATGCAATATTTAAGACCAAGAAAAATTTGAGAGTTAAGAGCACCTCCTTTCTAATAGAATGGCATCCCTGAGTTCTAAGTGATACAGCTACCAGAGCGTTCTAATGAAAGATGTCCACAGCAAGGTCCATGGAAACAGCTTTGATAAGAAGGCCAGGAAAGGGAGAAAACAGTCTACCTGGGTTTGGTACTGAGCACAGGTTTGTACTCGCTTTGTGAGAAGATTGTAAAGTTGTAAGACCATTGTACTGTGGACTTTGATGTGATCTCTTTGTATCCATCGGCTAATGAAGCCTGTGATGTTCAGAAACACACACACACACACACACACACACACACAATTACATGCATACCTCTTCTGTCTGTCTTTTCTTAACCTATTATGTCTTAAGCACTTTTTCACATCAGTAAGTATATTTCTCAAATACATAATTTTATCTTGGCAGAATAATATTCCATCATATGATTGCAAAGTTATTTATATAAATAATACCCTCTCATCGCACACTTTTGAAAGAGTTGCTATAATAAATAACAATGCAATGTTATTAAACTCTTGCATATAAATCTTTGACCACATTTCATTTCACAGCATGGTGGTTACTCAATCATGAATATAGACTCCCTTAATATTGCCATATATTATTATTGCTTTGTATTGCCTGTCTGCTTTCTGAAAGGTTATGCCAATCTGTACTCCCACCACTACAGAATGATGGCACCTAGAGGACAGTGAATTTTCAATGGGGTTTAAGGAAAAGAGTACGTGGACTGATCAGCAACAAGGAGGAGGGATTTAATCTGAAATATTTCAGTTATGAGTTTGAGAACTGGGCCCAAGTTTTTATCTGAGGCATTGCTAAGGAAGCCCCTGTCTCCACAGACTAGCTCCTTCAGATTAGCCATGAGCTAAAGGACGGTCACAGCATCTGTCTTAAAGATGGTCAGAGCCATATTTTAGCAGAATTTGTTCTCTTCATTGTTTTAAATTCCCAGTGGTAGTAATCTAAATTTACACATTCTTAACAGAATGTTCCTTATGAAACTCTCCAGCAACGGCTCCCACTAATGTGATGCAAAGTGAGAAAATAGTAGCTATCAGGCAACATCTAAGAGTCAGGCCTTTCTCAACATCAGGTAGAAAGCAAAACAGCTTGTATACTGCTGTGTGAAAGAGGTCTGCTCCTAAGGAAAATAATGTCATTAGTAATCTTATCCCAGGGAGGTAGGTAGTTGGGGGGGTGGGTGCATATAAGGCTTTGGACAGCAATGCTGACTCCAGTACCTGTTGCAACCCCTTTCCATCTGCATGCCCTAGAGCAAATAACTTTTTTATTTTTTATTTTTTTGTCACCCAGGCTGGAGTGCAATGGCACGATCTCAGCTCACTGCAACCTCCGTCTCTCAGATTCAAGCAATCCTCCTGCCTCAGCCTCCCGAGTAACTGGGATTACAGGTGCCTGCCACCACACCAAGCTAATTTTTGTATTTTTAGTAGAGACAGGTTTCACCCTGTTGGTCAGGCTGGTTTTGAACTCCTGACCTCAGGGATCCACCTACCTCGGCCTCCCAAACTGTTGGGATTACAGGCGTGAGCCACTGCGCCCAGCCAAGACTTCATCATTAAAATAATAATTTCTTAATTTGGTACATAAAGTCTGCTTAAAAACACACACAAAAAAAACTGTGTTCCATAAGATACTATATACATTAAGATGTCTTCTAATATTATTTCTAATTATATGGATCTGGATAGTCAGTTCACATCAGTTTAAGGCAGATTCTTTTTGGCTATGTTTTTCCTTATAGGCTTTGGATCAGCAGTCCCAGGTACAAATCTGACTCCTATCAGTTAAGTAGACTTCTTGTTTCCCTAAAATATTGTTGAGTTCCCTGGCTCAGGGCTGCTGAGGGAGACCTGTGTAGGCCAGTTAAAACATACTGCTTGGATCTAGTCTCTTCATGGCCTCACTGGCCCTGATAAGGACCAGTTCATCTCAAAGGTCACCTTAATTAAGCTCAAGTCTTAGAGCAACGTTAGCAACCTCTAATGTTCCTGGGAACAAAGGAGGGACATAAATAGGTCTTGAGCAAGACGTAAATTAATAAATTAGCAGTGAGTCCTATGACTAACATAAAGGCATTCAATTTCTATTTGTTTTGCAAACACTGTCCCAGATATCCAGAACATATCAGCATTGCATGTTCTGTATCAGCCCAGGGACCTGCCTATTTGTAAATCGTGCCAGAAATCTGTATATAATAAATTTTTTCCTTGATGGTCTTGTTCAACTCCTCCTGTTCCCTAATTTGAAGTACACCATGGCTTTAGGAACTCAACCTTAGCATAACAGTTTCCCTAGATGGGTTCCTTTATCTCTTTTTAGCAAGGTAGGAGTTGCAGCAACACAAACATATAGGCTACAAGCACATTCAAACCAGAATACAGCTTCTAATGAGGCTTAGCTATTACAAAAGATTCTCATGTGCAGTCGTTTTTGAGCCTCATGATTACCTACAGGTGGGTTTTATTATATTTATAAATGAGGAAACTACACTGAATAAATAAAAAGACTATCCATTGAACATGTATAGTCTTAGGTTGTGATCAAGATAGGTTTTAACTCAGAATTTTTAACTCCAAGTTTTCTACTCCTTCTAAATTATCATGTTGTAAATCATCTAGGTAGCTGAAAATATAACTCATAAATATACTCAGACTTAGCCTGTGGTTTCCAATGAAATTAAATATTGAGCCACTGTCCTAGAAGGAAAAGATATTTTGTTAACAATTTTGGTTAAAGTCAAATATCTTAGACCTAGCGATTGTCTACATTGTTTTGGACAGTTCTAGGTCCATTGGATATTCAGGGAAATTACAAGAGAAATGGACTTGTAAACAAAGAAATGCAAGATATCTGAGTGTTTATACAAAGTTAAACCGATTAGGACTATTCTGAGCTTTTAATATTTTAACATGACTTATGACTCTGCAAAGAAGAGAAGTTCTAGTTTCAGTCTCATCTGCAACTCAAAAATGAGTCACAATATACAGTAGAGAAAATACTGTTAACATTAATGTCGGCCTTTAACTTGGATCAAAGATCACCATGAGAAGATACGGAACTCAGCTCTCTGATGTGAAATGCAAAAATGTTGGTAGCAGAGGTGCTTGATTTTATTTATGGCAACTAGTACTCACTTGTCCACCCAGGGGCAAGTATCTCATTGACGGGGACTCAGTGATCACCCCTTACCTATAACCTTGACACAACCTTGTAGAAAAATCAACCAAAATATAGGTTTGATTAGCCTTGAGATTGGGATAATTTATTAGTTTGTTAGTAATCTGTTCCACCAAGCTTTTAAATTATAGTCTCTGTTAGTTGTAATCACACAACCAAACAAAAACCTGAATGACCTGGCGATATTCATCTCTAGGTTACTCCCCAGGCTCCAAAATATTCAAATCAATCCCTCTTGTCCATCTACTGGATCTGTCTTCCAGTGGCTGTTTCTCATCTTCTCAGACCATGAGTCAAAAGCCTCTATTGGTTCCCTAGTTCTTACTACCTCAGCACTGAGCACTTCTACCTGACTTTGCACCTCACCTTGATTATCTGATCAGTGTCATAGTTTACTATGCCTCAGCATGGTTGCTCTCATTGCTAAGCATCTCTGGGGCTTTGATTATGGTTTGCCCCTTATCATCTTTCTGATTATACAAATCCCAAATGAAACTCACTTGTTACAGAAAACCATCTCTGACTATTCCAGACCTCATCTGCAGATAAAGTGGTGATTCAAAGGAGTTCAATTATTCTTTAAAATCATAGACCTGACAAGTGACAAAGGCAAGGTAGGTATCCAGAAATGCAGAGCTCCAAAATGATGCCACTCTCTCCTTCTGCACTGTGCTCCAATCAGATCTTTCTTTTTTTTAATCACTAGAGTTGGGTGAAAACTGTGTAAGACTTTGTATCCAATATAGGCCATTGAGGAACTATACACAAAAGGTGAGGCAAACATTGAGTCTGAAATTCCATTAACAGGAATATAAGGTGTATATGCTTAGAACCTAGAACTGCAGCACAGGCTGTCAAACAAACAAACAAAAAGGCTTTAAAAAATTTACTAAAGAGAAAAAAACTCATTTTCTCTGAGGAACTATACCTCAGGGCAAATTTTCATCTGCAGGGGAACTGTTATAGAATATATTCCTTGCCATGTTTTACAGAGTGTTAATGCCTTTTACTTCCCATCAGATGTTCAGCATAGCAGCTTCAGGACTATCATCTAAGGGAAGGCGGAAGAAGCTGGTTATGTTGGTGTCTGATTTGATTTTATTCCTTTGCCAGTTAGATTTTGCATCTTTCTTTTCTTCTCAGATAGCCACTCCCAACTTATTTTGTAGCCTCATATAAGCTTTCATGGTTTATAATATTCACTTTTCATTCAAGTGAAAAATCTTATCTGTGATTTAAAAAATGTGTAATGGTAAAATTCAAACAAATGTCTATAACTTAAATCAGAATATTTCCATTCTTGTAACTGCAAGACTTAGGGTAGCACTATGTTTATCCCAGGTCTCAAGAGCCAAATGAGAAAAATCTATGCACTTCCTCTAAAGACAGAGGTAAAAGGGCACCCAGGAGAGTAGGTAAGGTATAGCCTCTCTTCCAGCCACAGTACCTGGGACAAGTCGTTTAACCTCCCTGGCCTGTTTCCTCATCCTCAAAATGGACTTAGAATGGGCCTCCAGTTAAGATGCTTCTTGCTGCATTCTTCTCTCAGCCTGTGACTAGGCAGGGGGCAGAAGTAAGCAATGTTAGAAAATACTAATTAGTATGTACCTCTCACTTATTCCTGGGTGTCCGGATGGACAATGAACTTTGTACATTCCTAGCAGAAGTTTTTTTTATAATCAAATATATTTTGTTAAAGCCTTCTTTACGCCATCCTTGCTCTGGACAATGCTATGGCTTGGCTGAACCCTCCTATGACTGTACCAGTCACCCTGGCCAATTTTAGTGGGTCTCGGAACAGCTCATGCAGAAGACAGCCAGTCGTCCTTTTTCAAGGGATGCAGAATTCCAAGGAATGTCATTTGGGGATATCCCTTCAGAGTAGGGGCAGAGGTTTCTCCATCTGGTATGACAGAATCTAAAACACTCTTTTAAAAACCCATGCAAAGAATTAAAAAAAGTTCAAAGAAAACACATGGAAATATTAACAGTGGTTGCCACAGCATGGTGACAGTATTAGGCATATATTAGGTTTATAATGATTTATTTAAATTCAGCGCAACAAAAGGAATCCTATAAAATTACTTTTAACATAAAAATATGAACCACTTTATTCTGTTTTTGTCTTGTTGAAATTGACTCTGGGAGATATGTTGCTATTTGAACCTATTATATCTCTGCTTCGAGTGAATTAACCGTTGTTTTGGTTTCACGGCAAGGTCAAATTGATTTATGAAAGCTATTCTGAGATTTTGTTTTTAATCTTTAAAAACATCAAAAACAGCAGAATTATTACAGACACGGATAATTAGCTACTATTAAAATTAAAAGTCCACCCTTTGCTTCAGAACAAGGGTTTTTTCTTTCATTTCTGCAATTATTATAATACTTTCCAGGACCTCTCCCTGGGGCTATTCCTCTGAATGGAGCCAAAGGAGAAGGGTGGCCCATTCTGCTCCAGGAAGTACTACCTGCTCATCAGCCTTCCTAGGAGTTGCTGCAGGCAGGTCCTCTCTCAGCAAGAGAAAGACTTGCTTCTGGCCCCAGGGCTTTAATATCTGCAGATGGGCCAAAGGCAAGTCACAGTCATCTGTGTGCTGTTGCCTTTGTTTTCTTTTTGTTGTTGTTCCAGTCTTTGAAATTAGATTTTTAATCTACGTTACATGATTTTTTTTTTTTTTTTTTTTTTTTTTTTACAATTTGGTAACAAAAAGTCTCACATATGGGCTATGAAGATGAGAACTTGTTCATTTGAGTATAATAAAATCTCACTGTTAAAATTCTCAATATCAAGAGTTATTTTTCAAGCTTTTTTCTCTGATATGAAATGAAAAGTGTAAAACTCAGGCATATCTATGGGAATTTACACACGTTATTATATACTGACAAACAATAATGGATCCATTTAGAAAGTATTTTGACGGAACAAACTGTTAGCAATGAAAAGTGATGTGAAATACTATTTTAGTGGCTTTTTTTTTCAACATTTATTTTAGGTGCAGGGGGTACATGTGCAGGTTTGTAACATGGGTAAATTGCATGTCTCTGGGATTTGGTGTACAAGGTATGTCCTCTCCCAGGTGGTAAGCATAATACCCGATAGGTAGTTTTTGATTTTCACCCTCCTCCTACCCTCCCACCTCAAGTAGGCCCAGTGTCTGTTGTTCCCATCTTTGCGTCCATGTGCACTCAGTACTTAGCTCCCACTTGTAAGTGAGAACATGCAGTATTTGTCTTTCTCTTCCTGCATTATTTTGCTTAAGATAAGGGCCACCAGCTGCATCCATGTTGCTGAAAAGGATATGATTTCACTTTCTAATGGCTGTGTAGTATTCCCTGGTATATATGTACCACATTTTCTTCATCCAGCCCACCACTGATGAGCATCTAAGTTGATTATGTGTGTTTCCTAACACCCAGGTGTTGTCACACTTGATGAAAAAAGCTACATGCCTTTTATTCCTCTGCCCCAACTCACAAATGTCTTAACAGAAACTTACGCATCTTTTAAATTAACAGCATTGAGCCACATTGGAAAACATCCAGGCAGCTTGTTGCAAGAACTGAGCCCTGGGGCTAGGAATGGTCAGATATGGATACCAAATGGAGTCATAGCTGATTCATCCACAACCTGGGGCCAATTACCCCAGTCTTCTTCTTTGAGTTGAAGATTCTTTTTATGTAAAATGAAAGCACAGAGTAGCTGATTATGGTATCCTTCATATCAAACTCTCTATGATTATGAGCTCCTAATGCTTGACAAAGCTTAAAACAGCTAATCAAAATTTAATTTAAACATATAAATGCAAAAATCTTCAATTCCAGTAATCTCTTACACTTTTTCCTTTAGAACTTCTGAGCATAAAGTTTACTCCATGGTACAATACAATAAGCTAAAATATCTCCAAAAAGACAATCAATCTGTAAACATCTAGACACACAATGTACGCTAAATGTACTACTTTAATTTCTTTTTAAATAAATAAGCAGAAATCCACTCCATCTTGCACATTAACATATAATATATAGAAAGTATGCATTTTTAACAGCCTGGACCAAACATAATTATATTTATTTCTCATGTAATAGGCTCACTTTTATAATATTTAATCGTATGTTACATGGTAACAATTGCTACAGAATATTGATTAGCTTTCCCTTGTTGAAATATATAAACAGATATGTAACTTCATCCGATAATAAGTTTTGAATGTCAATTTGCCTGTGCTTTGAACTCTACGACTGAAACACTGTCATAAAATAGTATAGATTTTAGAGCAAAGCTGGGAAAAAAGAAGTCCAAACCAGTAAGGATGTTCTACAGGACTGCCTGCCCTTTGGAAGGATGCCAGCCGTCAGAACCCTGCCTGGACAGCTGTGCTTAGAGTTTCCACCACTTCCTCAATTACCATATTGTACCTGTACTTCTATGAATAATCTGTCTGATTCTAGAAAAATAAACTTTAGATAAATATTTTAGTGTAAGAGATTTATTGGGTAGTGTACTTGGGAGCAATACCTGTAAAGTATTGGGATGATCAGAACTGCACAAAGGAAAAAATTAACTCAAGATGTATCAAAGATATAAATATAAGAGCTGAAATTATAAAACTCTTAGAAATAAATCCATAGGTGCAAATCTTCATGACCTTGGGTTAGGCAATGATTTTTTAGATATAACACCAAAAGCACAAGCAACAAAACAATAAAAAAGATAGACCTGACTTCATCAAAATGACAAATGTTTGTACTTTAAAGAACACCATGAAGAAAGTGAAGACAGCATAGAGAATGGGAGAAAATATTTGTAAATCATGTAACTGATAAAGGACTTGGATGCATAATACATAAAGAACTCTGACAACTCAATAATAAAAAATGACCAACTGACTGGGTGTGGTGGCTCACCTCTGTAATCTCAACACTTTGGGAGGCTGAGGAAGGAGGATGTCTTGAGTCCAGGAGCTCAAGGCCAGCCTGGGCAACACAGTGAGACCCTGTCTCTAAGCAAATAAGTTAGCTGGGCATGGTCGTGCACACCTGTATTCCCAACTACTTGGGAGGCTGAAATGGGGGGATGACTTGAGCCCAGGAGGTCAAGGCTGAAGTGAACCATTATCATGCCACTACACTAAAGCCTGGGTGACAGAGTGAGACCCTGCCTCAAAAAAAAAAAAAAAGTGTCTATAATTAAAAAATGGGCAAAATATTTGTATATACAGTTCTCAAAAAAAATATACAAACAGCCTGTAAGCACATAAGAAGATGCTCAATATTACTAGCTGTTAGGTAGAGGAAAATAAAAATCACAATGGAATACCACGGCACACACACTACTATAACTAGAATCAAAAAGACAGGTAATAGCAAGTAATGGGAAGGACACAGAAAAGTCGAAGCCCCGCATACATTGCTGGTGAGAATGAAAAATGGGGTAACCCCTTCAGAAAACAATTTGACTGTTCTTCAATATGTTTAACATAAAGCTACCATATAACTCAGCAATTTCACCTCTGGGTATATAGAGAAGAGAATTAAAAACACATGTCTACTCAAAAACTTGCACATGAATATTCAAAGAAGCATTGTTTATAATAATCAAAAAGAGGAAAGATGCCCATCAGTTGATAAAAAGATAAACTGTGGTATATCCATGCAATTCAGTATTATTTGACAATAAAAATAATGAAATGGTGTTGCAAGCTACAATGTAAAAGAACCTTGAAAAGTTTATGCTGAATGAAAGAAGCCAGATACAAAAGGCTACGTAAGTATAATAAGATGTAAAATAAAATGTCTGAAACAGGCAAAGCCATAGAGACAGAAAGTAGATTAGTGGTTTCCAGGGAATGGGGGTAGGTATGAATGAGGGGCAACTACTAATGAGTATGGATTTTTGTTGCTGTTGTTTTGTTGTTGTTTTTGGTTTTATTGGCAGGCAGGTGATGAGAACTCTGGAATTAGATAGGGGTGATGTTTGAAGAACTTTTTATGTATATGCTAAAAAACTACCAAATTTTATACTTTAAATGGATGTATTTTATAATGCGTGAATTATACGTCAATTAAAAAAAAGAACTGGGTCTAGGGAACAAGTGAACTGTAATGCAGCTGCAACGGAGACCTCAGTCAAGCCCTGGGGTTACTCTGAAGATAAAATTTGTCTGAGATGAGGGAAGAGGGCTGGGTCCCTGTGTCTACCAGCTGCAAGATGCTAGCTGACACCTGTGTCAGCTCTCCTCCGCAAAGGCAATTCTGGAAGAGATATACAGCTGTGAGCTCTCACCTGTCAGCAGCCAAGCCTCCCAGTAGCTGGGAGAATCAGTGCCTTAGTCCTAACTGGGAGTGGGGGAACGTTGATGGTGCACCATTCTGACCACATAACAGTCTCCCTCACCACTCTCTCAGCTCTATAAGCCTAGAAGCAAGTCTGATAGGTTCACTGTCACATTCTAGTGTCTTGATAAATGTGTGAAATGAGTGAATGATGCTTCTTTGGATTTGTTCCCACTTCAGAATCCCATATCCTGGTTCCCAAAGCCTATCCCTGCTTTGTTCTGAGAGTTTCTCTAAATCGTTAGAACATCTGCCTTACTCCCAAAGCAGCCAGTCTCTAAGGATGTTCACTTTTTCATTTCAGTGCTCTTACATCCCCACACCTACTAGTCCTGCAGGTACTAGAGAAACACCATTCGTACTTGCCCTCTCTCCACAGGTAGGATTACCCTAAGGAAGATTTTGTCATCCTTGGCTCTCAGAGGAGAAAAATAACCTGGAGTGGCAGATAATGATGTAAATGCAAGTGTCAGACGGTAAGCACACAAATGAATACCCAGATGATCTCTCTGGCAGAAGAAGGAAAAGTAAAAGGGGAATAACAATGAGGCTAGCACTCTACAACAGGTATACTAGGCATTCGAATTGTTATCCTAGTTAGCCGCAGTCAGCCTGTTAGCCCCGCTATATACTTGAGAGTACTGAGGAGATTAAATGGCTTATTCAACCTCACACCACTATTTTGAAGCTTTGAGCTTTAGAAGAAAGGAAAGACCCCTTAGTGGCCACTTGCAGGGAAAGATAGCTTCAGTTGTCTGGGTTCTCTGTGGTCCAGAATCTTAATCAAGCCATCCAGACTCCAGGACAGGTTAGTGAGGGGACTGGAACTGGCCTCACAAAACCAGGCAGGGCATATTGGACATATTTTCTGCAAAATGCTGCCTACAAACCATGCCCCATACTGGATTCCACATTAAACATCTGCCCACCTAACCAGAGTGTGTGCCTCCCATTTCTAGGTCTCAATAATCTGGGGTCCACTTGAGCCTGCCTCAGGCCACCTCTAGAAATCACACCTGCAATCACCTTCAGAACAATTGTGTAGAGCAAGTTATGACCCCAGAGATCCTCTGAGGAGTCAAGCTTGGCAATAGCCAGAGTATAGTGTTGGCACCATGCATTAAGACCTTTGTGGCAGTTCTTGGACGTAGACCCACTGGCTAGTGCCTCTCTCCCTGCTGGGCTGCTGCTCAGGAGGCTTTCCCTTCTCCTGAGCCCAGGAACTCCCCGTCTCAGATGTGCATCAACACCTGTCCTGCTCTGCTTGCAGGAGCTTCCCGGTAGTCTGGGTCTGTTTGGACTCAGAGTTCTGGAATGTGGTGCTGAAGCACGGTCCCACATTATTCTTTGGGCAGGTGTTCCTGCTGGAAACTTCTCTGGGCACATCCTGGTGACTTTTCATTATAAGTCCAGTTTGCACTCATCTCTGAGAAACAGAGCTGTTTTCGCCAGTTCTGTTGCTTTTCAGGGAAACATAAACCCTCTATGTTTCAGTCCTGTGGGTCTCCATTGACTCATGTGTCTGCAGGGAAACCGAAGACCATACTGGCTGCTGCTATAATTTTGGAATCCAGTTCTGCCTTTTGCAAGCCCAGCTGGCATGTGGGGGGCAGGGTAGCAGGGAAGGAGGGAGAAATGTACCATTCAACCTTTCCACCATATTCAGAAGAGTAATTGTTTAGATCAAAAAGGGAAGTGGAAGGTTCAATTATACATTGAGTGTCAGCCTTTTTATGTATTTTGTCATATTTGAGCCTCAGAGTAGTGATGAGTGTAAGTTGGTAATACCTCTGTTTTTCAATGGGAAAATGTAGTCAGGGAAGTTAAGTGACTTACCTGGAAGCTCTCTGCAGATGTTAAATGCAGTATTGCAATTCTAACCTGGGATTCTCAGACTTTTAGATTTTCATTCTGTGTACTCTGCAGGGCTGGCTTTCTAAAGAGGCCACTTATAAATGTCACTTATTATGCTTACTAAGTTTATAGATTTCCAGGATTTTTCCTCAAATCTGATTCAGCAAGTCTCAGAAGGGGCACAGGAATCTTTTTTTTTTTTTTTTCAGTTAAGTGTGGGCAAAACTTCACTCAACCAGACTATGCAACTGTCCTTTGCCTTCCCAGTGACAAAGATTCATAATTTAGGAATCAGCTTTAAATTTTGAAGGCAGTGGCAAGAAGACTTTGGATGCAGTATGGACGATGAATTGGAGACAGAAGAAATCAGCTGTAAAAAGGCCCTTTCAGAGGCTATTTCTGTTATGCAGTTGAGAGGAAATGATGTCTTACACTTACAAAAGGGCAGTAGGGCTGGAAAAGGGAAGTGGGGAGGTGACTCTGTGGGGCAGAGGGACAACGTGATGCCACAAAGAGGGCAGCTCAGCTGTGTGGCTCTAGGTTGCCTTTGCTCAGGTGAGTTAAGGTCCATCTGACTCTGTGATAGTGCTTGAAATAAAACAAGGTCATGAAATGGATAGAAAAGAAATAAGAAGTAAATACCTTGCTTGAATAAGACAGTAGAATTGGAGCCATTTTTAAGATATTCAGTCTTCGAAAGTATTAAAGCATTTCTCTAGTCTTTTTAATGTGCACCAAAAAAAATGTTTTTGATCGTGTAGTTGCAAAGAACTGGAAGGAAAGAACAACACAAAACTGAATGAAAGCAAGGGAAGACTCTAGTTATTTCATTATTTACCTATTCTCTAATGAGAAACCACAAAAACGATTAAAAGAAGGGTCACCTTTTATTTAGCAGTAGGGAATGTATGCTAAGAGTTGATGTTCTGAACCACTTAACAAGATGAACTCAAATCTGAAATCATCAACACTTAGAAATAGCTAGTTTTTTTACAATAAGTAGACAGCAGCCAATAGGCAGCAGAGGATACTTAACTGATGGCATATCTTCTCCTGGACATTAATAATATAATTCGGAAGTTTTAAAGGGCTTTGATTTAAATGGAAAAGTAGTTTCAATTGATTAATAAAAAGTTGAGGGCTGCATTTATCTGCTTATCTAGCTGTCTTGCTAGAGATGCTCTGAGTATAATCATTTCCGGGCCCAGACTATGTAGGGAGCAGATGATATAAACATAAGAGATATCTAAGTCATAAAATGTGATAAGAGAAAACCATAAGGTGTTTCCACTCTAAATTAAGGGCCAGAAACCCCACTGCCAATATAAAGAGAAGGAAAAGGAAAGTAGAAAAATAAAACTGAAAGTTTATTAGGAATTTAATATATGCCAGACACTGTGATGTATTTATTTCACCTAATCCTCACAGCAATAATGAGCCACAGAGATTCACAGATGGGACAGCTAAGTGTTAAAAGTTTGTAGCTTTTCAGTGCAAAGTATAACTGATAGATCTAGGTTCTAAGTCATTCATCTGATGTTAAGTGTCAATTCCCCTTTAAGGAAGAATCACTCCACTCTTCTCTGCTATCCAAACCTCTCCTCATTTTTAGTTGTTAGTCTTTTCACTCACTTTGTTGCTCTCGGAAACCATCCTGTAAGTAGACTGATGTCCTGTGTGCATTTCCGGACCCATCTGTGTTCACTGAGTTTCTCCATCTTTCAAGGTTCAGTGCTGTGTATCCCCCTCTAAAATGCCCTCCCAGAGCACTGCTGCCTACTGCAAGTTCTGCTTCACATCCATGGAGGATGCTTTTCACTAATGCCCTCATTTGCAAATTGCAGTACTAAACCCAGCCTTGGGGATTCTCTTTCAATGCTCCTCTATTTTCTAACTCTTTCCATTGTACTGGATGCCAAAGCATGTAAAGCCCACAATAAGGTCTTACATAACCTTCTCCTTCTTATGGAACTCAGCAAAGGACCCAGAGTAATAGATGTTTCATTATTAGCACAAACACCACTAATGACTTTAGGTCTTCTAAAATGCTTCCAACTCTGTTGTCTCATCTATTTTAGTATGTCACCTCATCAGATACTCATAAGAATCTTGGGTAAATATTATATTTTATAGTAATTATTATATTATGCTGTAATGGATATTTTTTCCTTCATGTTACATTTAGGGTGACAAAGGATCAGAGAGGATATAGTCATTGGCGCAAGGTTACACTGCTGGGAAATTGCAGCTGGCTTTGCTGCTTCTCTTAGGATCAGTGCTTTATATACTTTTGATGAATAAGTAAATGGGTAAATTAAAATTCCTATCAGGTCTCCTAGCACCAAGCTTTCTACCACATCATTCAGAATGATTTATTTGACAGCTTATGTATGTTTATGTTTTTCTCATAAAGTCTTATTCCAGCATAGTTGACATAGCATTGGCTTTACAAAATCTCACAATTAGTTCTTGTGAATATCAAACTCATTAGTTGAGACAGAGAGAGAACAATAGCTAACCTAGTTTTAAGAGAAGTAAATTCTTCGTTAATGATTATTTTAAAAAATTAATGTGCCTTCAAATAAGGAAAAGCTTGAACACTTGGCAGTCTGAATGATCCCAATTACAAAATACGTCTAATTATGTTTTTAAAAACTTTCTTAAGGGCATCATCATGATTACTTAGGATTTTAAAAAAATCATTAAAATTTTTTTCTTTTCAAAGTAAATCCACTTTTTTATTTTCAAAGTAAATAGTGTATGGATACAGCAGGTCAATAACACTTTCTGTCCAAAGCAGATATTGAATTTCAAATAAAATTGTATGGACAATCAAATGTATTTAACATTTAGAGCACAAAGCAGGGCTGAGAGAATATGTTTTTCTAAATGGCAGGTGGGTCAGGGAAAAGCAGGAAGAGGTGTGATGCGTTGGGAGACAGTGGAAGATGCTGTAAAGTCCTCCCTTCATTAGAATCAGAAACTTAATGGGAACACTCAGATCGATCTGTGCAGCCCTGGAATTTATGTGTAACAATAGCTGGAGAATTTTAATTTAGAGATTTATGCAAAGAAAAAAAAGAAAGACTCCCCCACCCTCCGCTAGACAGGACAACATATACATAAAAATATGCTTAAAATTTAAAAGTCCCAGGTTCTGGTCTCAGTGTCCAGACTGTTCTTGAGAAAGAACAAGTGAAGAGTCATGGCCCAGGTGTCTAAAAGAAGAAAACCTTTCTTTTTTCTAAAATAAGAAAACCATCTCCTCCTGTCTTCTTTTCCTTCCACAGGCCTCCTGTCCTGCAATGGTCTGATCCCTCCTGAGAAGTTAGTTGCCCTCTTCCACAGCCTCCTGAAGTAGGAGACTTGCAGGGCTTGTTTCCCAAACCAAAGAGGACACTGGCCAGAACCAGCAAGTGGCACAGAAAACAACCTCTAGTTGTCCTCACTGCCCATCAGCATAAGACACTCCCACCAGTGCCATGACGGTTACAAATGCCATGGCAACGCTGCGTTACCACCCCTTCACATGGCAACACCCAGAAGTTACCACCCCATTTTCTATTGATTTCTAAATAACCCACCACCTAATCTGCATACAATTAATAGTGGGTATAAATGCAGCTAGCCAACAGCCCATGCGTGGCTACTCTCCACGCACTGCCTATGGGCTAGCCCTGCTCTGCAAGGGGCAATCACCAAGCATAAACACTGCTGCTTAAGTAAAGCTGCTTTCTTCCACCGCAGGCTTGAGTGAAGCCAAGAACCTTCCCTTCATCACACTTATTTATCATAAATTGTTCTTACACTTTGCCTAGTAACACAGCTCTGTCTTTCTAACCTGAGCAAGCTGGGTCTTCAATGGATCAGCCACATTATTCTGTGCATTCAGCAGCTACCATGTAAAAGCTGCTATACAAAAAGAAGCAAGGGAGAAAGGCTCTAATGTCTTTTCAGTAGAGAACTCCCCAGGGAAACAGACCTTTTAATGGCTGCTGAATTGAACTTCTAGTGTAATATCCTGGCAAACTTCCTTACCAAGAGTAGCTCTTTTCATCCATTTAGTCCATCTTTATTCGGTGTTTTGGGGCATACACCTTCATTCTTCATGGAGATAAGAGTCCAGGCTTACCTGAATCAAACTTGGACCAATTTGGACAAAATAACCAGGAGTAGAGGTAAGAGAAGCAAACAAAGCAAGTTTATGCAAAAAAAGAAAAAGAACCAACAAGCACAAGTGCCTGGAAACAGGCCACAGAACTCTGAGAACTGTGAGATTTATATGAAATCGCAATTTGCATTGTTCAGGCTTAAAATATAGAAAAAATCTACCATATCAGGTTTGTAGTCCTAGCTCAGGCACCATTTGGCTTTCGGTAACTTATTTAATATTGGTGGGCTTCAGTTTTCTCAGCTATTAAATGGTAATTTTGCTATTGAAATCTGTAGCTTGAGAGATTCATTGAGGTCCTGGAAGAAAGGCAGTCCAGGAACCAAAATGTTCCAAAGGCCACAATGATACAGAAGGGGCTGTTACTTGGAAAGCCATCAGTAGAATTGCTGAATTAAAGGGGAAGAGACAAATGCACAATGCAAGACTGGAAACTGGGGAAATCTTTTCAGCAGCGTGGAAAAGGCAAGATCATTTAGAATTTAAAACCAAAACTGATACAATTTCTTCTACTTCATAGATAAGTACAATTTTGTTCAGGAAAATACTTTGTTACTTTCTAGTAGAGGGGTCCTCATTTATGAAAATACCCACATATTCCTCCATACAAAGTGGAACACTCTCAGGCATGGTCTGGGAAAATGAGGACTGCAACAAAGATATTACGTGTATCTAATGTCCAGAGCTGGGTGCGGGGATGCCAGTTGCAGCAGGAGAAGCATGGCTGGGGCTGCGTGCTCTGCTGAGCCTGTGGGAGCCTGGAACAGCTGGGAGCCCCACCTCCTTCTGAGTTGGGGCTGCTGAGGGTGGCTCAGTGTGGGCCTGCAGGCCCCCTCCACTTGAACAGACTGGGCACTATGGACAACATGATTAAGGAAGTAGGAGGCAGACAGGCTCCTCTGTGGGAAGGGGTAAAGACCCACCTTCAGGTGGAATTCCAGGTGGAGTCCACGGCCAGGAGTGAGAACTTATGGTGCTTTTTCTGGGCCCACCCATGGCTGCCCATGGACCAATCAGCATGCATTTCCTCCCTTCTGAAGCCCAGGAAAACCCTGGACTCAGCTGGACTCACAGAAAGACATCAGGACAACCTGTCTGTGAAAAGTAGCTACCCACTTTGGGTCTCCTCTCTGCTGAGAGCTGGACACTCATCGGGATGACCTGCCTGCGGAAAGGAGCTACCCACTTCGGGTCTCCTGAGAGCTGTTCTGTTGCTCAATGAAGCTCCTCTTTGCCTTGATCACCCTCCAGTTGTCTGCATACCTCATTCGTCCTGGATGTGGGACAAGAACTCGGGATACGCCAAATGGCAGGACTAGAAGAGCTGTAACAAAAAACATGGCTGAAACACCTCACCTCCCACTTGCCACATTGTGGGTGACAAGAAGGAGAGAAGAGCTGTGGCCGTTCAGGGAGCCCAGACATAGGGGATCCCTAAGCCAGGGCTGTGACACCCTTTTTGGGGCTCTGTGGTTCCTGGTGTCTCCAAGCTTCTGGGCAACACCATGTTCCTCTCGTCCAGATGCAGATGCCCAATTATACCATTCAGCCATGCCACATGTACCACATGTGGTCCAGCCACAGCTTCACACAGAGCCAAAACGTGTGCTAGCGCCTGGAGCTGCCTGCCCTGCCATAGCAGCCAGCATGCCTAGCCAGTGCACAGTGGCTGGTCTCCGTGCTTGCTTGCCCACACACCCCTCACTGCTGCACCCCTGGCTCACCCTTAGCAGGTGTGGGATCCAGGCCAGTAGCATGAGCCGAGTGCAGCCTGCCAGGTGAAGTGGGCGGAATAAGCCCAGCAGGTGTGAGCAATACTTAGGCAGAAGGCACAACCGGACACAGAGGTTTCCAGCTGAAACCTCTGTGAACCTCCAGGTGAAGTGACACCTGGAGGATCCCATGACATATACACATGTTACAATGAGAATATTGAGATTTCCAGACCAAAGGGAATTTATAAGTTCATGACATCAGGAGAGGAAAAAGAAGGGTTCTAGCCACATGGGGGAAAGCAGAGAGCTCAAGAGAAAGATCAGGAAGAGAAAATTTTTGAGGAAATTTAGGTAGTAGACACAAAAAATTTAAAGAAACAAAAGTGTCAAACCTCTCATGATGTTTGTTGTAAGCTTTTAAGTGAACACCTCATACATTTCCCCAAAGCTTTGCTATTTCTTTGACAAATGGTGGGGAAATCAATGAAATGGGGCCAGGTCTCACATTTGGGCCAAAGAGTAAAGAGCAGTTGTTCCAGGTGAGATGCAAGGGAGGTCCTGAGTTTAACTGGAACAGAAAATGAAAGCAAAAAGTACCTGGACATTTTATGGAAACTCTGGAGAAGGCACAACAAACTTTCATCAGGATGCCATAGCAAATTTTAAAAAATTATTTCCTAGGATGGTATGACCAAAGCCAACCTCTTACTAACATGGGTTTTGGAAGATACTTCTTTAAACCAGGAGGACGGCGATGACCGCAATGCACACTCTCAGAGCAACAATCATGAGAACATTTTTCTAGAAGCAGATCAGCATGGTGGGTTTGGACTTTTGCTCCAGTACTGAGTAGCTCTGTGATCTCTAGAAGTCTATGCAAACTTTCTGTACTGCACTTTCCTTCTCTGTAAAATGGATACAGTCTCAGGTGGCACAACACAGAGTTGTGAGGATTAAAGGAGGCCTCTCACATAAAGTGCTTAGCAGACTACCAAACATGATAGTGTGCAAGTGTTCACTATGACTCATACAGGCTTAGTGCTGAGAATGAAGTAAGATGATATTTATAAAAGTGCTTTTTAAATTATACAGAAAATACATGTGAAATTGTTGGTTATTATAAAATGAAAATAAAAGAGTAAAATTCTGACTTCTTGGTCCTAAAACTCAAAAAATAATTCTCTCTTAGGCTTTACAGGATGAAATGTTTTCTCATGGGTCAGAAGTAGCTGTCGGCCTTTCTACTATAGAGGCATCATGGGAGGATGAGAGAATACTAAATTATTTAACACTAGGATCAAGAAATTTCCCATATCATAAACCTGGCTCCACAGGCTTCCTCATCAGTGGTAGTCTTCGGGGAGAAGCCCCATGCGGCCTCTGGGTTTTAGAATGTGCATTAGCATTTACTAGTAATGATAGTGATTAATATTATTTATAAAATTAATCCTAGGCAAATCTCTAAACACCCTGTTCTACTCTTTAATGTAAATTAATGATCATTTTATCTTTCTCCATCTCAGTTTAATTAGAATCCACAGTAGTCTATGAATTGGTATGTTTGCCAAAGTTAACTCAATAGTGTATACAAATAGTGGTCAATGAAAAGACCTGTTTGGAAAGCTACATGCTGACATAATTGAAAACCACTTGGTTATGAGTCATAGAGCTTGGGAGGAAATGCTTTCATCTGCTGCAATTCAATTATACTACAAATTACATCAAAGGAGATCCTGATAAAGCCTGCAAAGATAATGGTGAACAATGATTAGCAATGAAAAGAAGAGCATTCCTGGGAGTGAACCGTGCCACCTGCACAGAGTACGAGTAACTTCTAAGTAGCAGCCCTGATGCTCTATGAATCTGGGACTGAGGAGTCACGCGCCAGGCCAGCTGCTGTTTCCCATAGTCCTCTCAAGACCTGTGTGTACACACGTTCCAAGTCATGCTTCAGACACAGCTTTGGGCCCTCAGTTACTTTAAAAATTAAAATTGGGTTTGGAAAGATCGCTTCAATATACAATCTCTAAATTTGATTTGTCAATGATTTTTATGGTCTCCACCACAAAATTCTGAAACGTGATCAGATCTAGGAGTTAAGAGAATGAATATAAATGAGACTGTGTTACAAAAGACAGCCCGTTTAATTAATAAGCATTTTCTGAGCATATTGTTGATAATACAAATAAAGGTGTAAAAGTGTAAATAAAGATCTTTGTTCTCAAGATTACCATGCTCTCGAGGAAGTCTCATATGGAAGCAACTACAATGTTATAATGCAATATACTAAGACTTATTTAAAAAGGTACAGGCTGGGCACGGTGGCTCACATCTGTAATCCCACCACTTTGGGAGGCTGAGGCGGGTGGATCACTTGAGGTCAGGAGTTTGAGACCAGCTTGGCCAACATGGTGAAACCTCATTTCTATTAAAAATACAAAAATTAGCCAGGTGTGGTGGTGGATGCCTGTAATCCCAGCTACTCAGGAGGCTGAGGCAGGAGAATCACTTGAGCCTGGGAGGAAGAGGTTGCAGTGAGCTAAGATTTTGCCACTATACTCCAGCCTGGGCAACAGAGCAAGACCCTGTCTCAAAAAAAAAAAAAAAAAAAAGAGAAACAGAGGGTATGAATAATGATGAATAATGTACTTTGTGTTTTTTTTACTTTAACTTGATTAACTCATCAAAACACTCATACATTTCAGATCTAGGACATGCTGTGGTCTGCCATGAGTGATATGAGCACAGGTTTCAAAGATTGATACCTGCTGATAAATTTCTTGAGTTATTGCATGACTGAAAATGTCTTTCTGTTGCTATTACATTTAAGGACAACATGTCAAGATGTAAAATCTTGGTTCACATTTGATTTTTCTAACACTTTTATAGATGTTTCTTTTTGCTTTCTGGTTTTGACTATTGCAGAGGAGAAATTCAAATTTTGTCTGGTTATCTTCTTTGAAATAAACATATTTTTTGTACTATGTAGAATAAAACATCTAACTTTTGCTTTGCAGTTTCAAAACTTATCAGAAAATGTCTACATGTTAGTTTCTACTGAGTAATTTTATTTGAGTGTGATAAGCCAGGTTTCTCAATATTTCTATGGTCCTGAGTTTTGTTTCATTCATAACTCTTATGCTAATTTTTATCTCCTGAGAGGTTGCTTTTGCATCCTGAGTGTGCTTTTTAAATTCATTTTTTGTTTTATTGATGTGGTTTTTAGCAGTGTTGATTCTACATTTTCCATATACAATAAAGATCTTATTTTTATTTCACCCACATTTTACTATAATTATGTCAGTTTAATAGAAGCAGTATTATTTTTTATCTCACCTAGGATTAAATGAAAAATAACTAGGCTTAACATTTTATTTTGCTTCATGTCAAAATGTAAATTTCAAAGTAGACTTTTTGTTCTTGAGCCGAAGAACCTTCATTGGTTGGTTGGTTCTAGTAATTTGCCTCAAAGAAAAACAAAACAAAAAAGCAAAACAAACCACATATCTTTAAATTTGGGTTGTTAATTTTCAGCATTTTGACCAGAAATCTAGGTGCCTTGCTTCTCAAAGGATGATTCAGGGACTAGGAATATCAGCATCAACTGAGAGGAGACTGGGAGAAATAGAGGATCTTAGATTCCCACACAGACATAGCGAACTGGAACCTACATTTCAACAAGATCTCCACATAATTATATACATATTAACATTTGAGAAACCCTGGTCTAGAAGAGCCATGTATTTGGTTGTTGGGAGTCATTTAACTCAGCTGAGCTATCAGGCTTCATACCAACACTGAAGCCAGCTGACATCTCTTTAAGTTTCTGTCTCTAAAGTGTGGCTTGAAGACAACATGCTTGCCAAGCTCTGGTGTGACCAAAGATTGTAGGATCCAGTCTACAAGGTGTTTTACATGTTTATTCAGTCAACTATCATGGTTTCTTCCCTGAAGTATGGATTAAGACAGACTGGGCAATCCAACTCTGAAAATTTCAAAGCCTGCCCCCTGGAGGACTGCTGGTGAATGCAGCTCCATGGCAGGGAAGGAAAGCAATTGAACAGGAAGAGCTTGCCTCAGTCCAGGCAGGTGTTGAAATACGGGCCTATTAATGTTCACAGTTTTATTTTGCTTTATCTCTAAGGATCTAATTAATTTAGAGATCATTGCTTTTACTGTCAATGTGGAATAAAGATGATGAATGGACTAACCTCGGCATGTGCAGCCCAAATTGGTGTATTCCCAATGGTTCCTACTGCCTGTCACCTTTACTTTTCACCTGTTCCACAAGTGTTACAATAGAATCTAATAGGAAGGTAGCTCTAAGCCAAATGGGTCACTGATATCTCCCCAGAATTTCACCATTGCAGGAGAAACAAAAGCTGGTTAAAATTCCAAAAACTTTAGAAGGTCGCCACAAGCCTCCCTTTCTAAAAAGGGAACGCACATCATTGACATACAAGTTCTTTCTGCCCTTTTGTTTATTCAACGAATATTTAATGGATACAGAAGTAGGCTCTGGTGATATGGCAGTGAACAAACAGGTGAAGCTTCTTCCTTCATAGAGTTTGTTATCTAGTGAAAATATAAACATTACAAAACAAATCATGTGAAGATGGTTATAAGTCATATGAAGCAATACATATCATGGTAAAGAGCTAGGCAGGCATTCATTGCCAGGCGTTTGTATGTATATATGCTTGGGAGACAGATATGGCTATTTTGCAAAGGAGGCTCAAAGGAGCCCCCAGTGAAAAAGTGAATTTCAGTGGAGATTTGAAGGAAGTGAAGGAAGGGGCCCTGCAAATGACTAAAGGAAGAACACTGCAAGTAAAGGACACACAAGGACACCTCTCCATAGTAGGGCAGTAGTATATTTTATTCTGAAAATTCATAAGAATTTAAAGAGAAAAATGTATGACATACCCATTAAAATTAGATAACAAATCCTGTTTTTAGTGGCTTTTAAGTATTAATATCTTGTATGTCTCCCTATTCTTCCTATTACCAGCGACCTAGTTCACACCCTCAGCATCACTGGCTTGGACTATTGCAGTCGCTTCTTCTTTTTTTTTTTTTTTTTTTTAGGCTGGAGTGCAGTGGTGCGATCTTGGCTCACCACAACTTCCGTCTCCCGGGTTCAAGTGATTCTCCTGCCTCCGCCTCCCGAGTTGCTGGGATTACAGGCACCCACCAGCACGCCTGGCTAATTTTTGTATTTTTAGTAGAGACGGGGTTTCACCACGTTGGCCAGGCTGGTCTCAAACTCCTGACATCAGGTGATCCACCTGCCTCGGCCTCCCAAAGTGCTGGGATTACAGGCGTGAGCCACAGTGCCTGGCCTTCAGTCACTTCTTTACTGATCTGTTTGTCTTTAGTCACATACTAATCCAGTCCATTTTAAGCAAAAATGAACCTAGTGCAACATCTCAGCCTAAAACTCTTCAAAAACATTCACATAGAAAAAAACAGCATTGGAGATCCACTGCTAAATCATTCACAACTGTCAATCCCAAATGGATTTTATACTTAAGTATAAAAACCAGATCTTTAAAACTTTTCAAAGGAAATAGACCAATACATATCCATAACCTTAGGGTAGGGCTACTTTTAAACAAGACATGAAGCACACAAAGAATTAGGATGGGCTGATATCTTTAACTGTACTACAATTAAGAACCTCTGCCTGTCAAAATCATAGGGCAAGCCATAAACTGGGAGGTAATTTACAAGACACATAATTGCCAAAGGAATTAGTATCCAGAATATGTAAAAAATACCTATCCTATATATATCAATAAGAAAAAGCAACTTTCAAATCAGGAGTTGGCTTTCACAAGAGCAGAAATATAAAAATCAACAAGTTATAAGAAAAAAAAAAACCTGTGTAGAAATTGGATTATTGAAATGCCTTTACAACCCAGTAGATTATCTTAAATTTAAAAAAAATAATGAAGTTTTATTGACAAGGTCATGGAAAGCAGATTGTGAGAATGGGGGTGTAAATCACTGAAAAAAACCTGGAAAACTACTTAGGATTATCTCTTGCAGAATTAAAGATGAATATTTCTTACATAAAAATTCTCTAGTGTCATTGATAGTAAAGCAAAAATCTAGAAACAAGAAATGAGGTTGAAACACAAATGAACCCTGAAAGTAAATTCTCTACAGCCACGTTAACAGGGACAAATCTCACAAACATAAGGTTGAATTTCTTAAAAATCACCAAAATATACATTATGTGTTAAAACTATTTAAATACGTTTCTGTATGATAAGATATAATATATTATGGGGACATAGTTACAAACTTAGGAATGCTAAGGAAGATAATTTACATCTCAGAGGAGCACAGGACTTGTCTCAATGGTGTTATTATGTTCACATTTTTTAAATGGGGTACATGGGAATACTAATGTTGTTTTTTTCACATTTTATAAATATAATATATATTTTTTGTATAAATGATATATTTTATGATTATAAAGAAGAAGAATGAGTGTTGAAAACAGTGGATCTTTGGTTCAAATCCCATATCTTCTACTTTGTTTAATATGCCCTGAGACTCATCATTTTTTTTCTCCTTTACATACACAACTGAATTGCATACACAGTCACTAGCACAATCATTGGCAAATGGCGAGTACTAAATATATATTGGATAATATGGGATGGGGCTCTTTAATGGCTTCTCATGGCTGTTCCCTTCTTTGCATGGTGCATGTGTTGTCTTGAACTGGCCTTGACCCTCTTGTCCAACTTCATATCCCACCATCGCCTCCTCTCAGTCACTGCTACAGCATATGCCAGCATTCCTCATTTCTTTGCCTTCAGTACTAAACCCATTGATCTGCCATTATTCCTCAAGGCTCAAGCCAAATAGCACCTCTACTGTGAACAGACAACACTGTAGCACTGACCCCAATACATGTAATTCATGCAATTTTAGTAAAAATTCACGTAATTTTAGTGTTTATATGTGGGTTTAATCATAATATTATGGCAGGAGCCATATATTGTTTTATCATCTTATCCCAGGACAGGTGAAAAAACAATAAATAAGTAGCTGTATAAGGAATAAATTCATAATTTTGAGATTACTTTAGTTGTCTAAATTCCGGGTTTGATTTAAAACATGAAGCATGGGTAATTCTATTAATCATAAATAGGTAAAAGTTTTGTCATTGCAGAAAAAGCTAATGAAGTATTTCTAAAAAATAACAGTTTAATTGGAGAGATTTTTTTCATTCTAAGGCTATCTAAAAAAGTTAATCACATATATAATCATCTATGAAAGATCTCACACATTTATATTATCATAAAAATATCTCAAAATTAAAAGAAAAATGTGTGTGTTTAATTACATAATGTCACTGATCACCAAAAATTATAAGTAATTTGTAATAGTAAAATGAAATGAGTCGACTCCTTTATTGAATTTAAATGAATTTGAATATTTATTTTCTGGAACATTTAGTAAAATGATCTCAATGTATCATTCAGATTTAACTGTGTGATACACAGTGTAAGTAGAAACTGTATTTATAAGCTATAAACAAAATGAAAGGAGAAACTCTAAGGTGCTTATTCAAAATAGCGACTTGACTACTGTGCTTTTTTTTTTTTACTACGTGTGTAGAAATTATGTTTGAGGGGCATTTATGAGAGCAATTATTCAAGATACATGAAAAATGAGATGAAAATAAGTGAAGAACCTACGAATTAACCATAAATGTTCCTCATTCACAACACAGAAAGGGTAACACCAGATACATCTACCCCCTTACGATAATGGGAGTCAATTTATTGGAGAAAATTTTTGCAGTTATTGAGAAAGATGAAGAAGGAAAGAAATTGTCTGTGAGAGGAGACTATTTAGGTAAAGAAAGAAAAAGGATTTGTAAACAAGGAATAGTACTGTGAGTCCCTGGACTGTTTCAAAGAAAATTAGATGTGTTTTGTGAAAAAATAAATGAAATAAATTTATTTAAAAAGTATGCCATATGACTGTCTTTGCAGCCATATAAGAGAAGACAGGAAACAGGGAAAAAGGGAAAAAGAAGCTTGCTTTGGAGGCATGATGTATAAATCAGTATTTCTCACTCTTGAATGTGCATAGGATTCATCAAGGGAGCTTATTATTAATAAAACAAAGATTCTGAAGCAGTTTGCTTTGGGGTGGCACTTGAGATTCTGTGTATCTAACAAGCTCCCAGATGATGCTGATGTTGCTGGCCTTGGATCACACTTTAAATTCCAACAAGAAAGGAAATTACATTGTAGTCCTATGGATGTGTGTTCACATCCTAACTCTGATTCATGTAATTATGTATTCTGGACTCATGGAGGCCTCTGAACTTTACATAGGTGGACATGAGTAGCAACACTCCACACACCCCGTTGCAAGGTAATGAAATAATGTTAGCAAATCCCCAGACACAAAGTAGGTATTCATGACTGTCAGTTCCCCTTATTGAGTCCTTGCAAGTTTACTTGCTCAAATTGATGTTATTGAACATGCAGTAATTATTATATTTCAAGTGTAATGAAAACATGTAAGTCAAGATGCCCCCTAAATAAGTCAAAAATTAGATATCATTTCACTTTTATAACATTTGTCTTTTTATGTACTTTGACAGATGTCTCATTTAGAAGCAGAACATGATTAGAGGGAAAGAAATTGTTGGAAAGATATTGCAAACATTTGGAAAAGCAAGAGGCTAAAACTCATGTTGGGATGGTGACTTTCTCCCAGGACATTTATGTCCAATAACCAATTAGGGTCTTGGCAGCAAACAATGTGTGGAAAGCTGTAATTCCATCACATGAAAGCAGGAAACAGTTGAAATAAAATATAGTGTGAGTCTTTAAAGTCTATGTAGACAATGAGTAGATGTGCTTCAAAAATAAAATGATTTGCAGGTAGGACAAATAGAAATAGGAAGGGTTACATGCAGATGGTGCCTATCTGATGTCTACAACAGGCTCTATCAGACAACCTTATGATCCAAACTGCAGAGGAACACATGAGACTTACCTAAGTACTATGCACTAATTCCAGTACCCCCATCAGACTGTCATCTACATCATCTTCTCTACGTATCTGGTTGTCACTCCTAAATTATTCTCTTTTTCCCTCCTGATTAGCCACTCCGGATTTATATACTAATGGTACATGACAACTCCTAGATGCATCTCAGAAATGTGAAACAACATCCTCAAATCAATGCCTTTTCTAGAGAGAAATACTTGAAAAGTCTCAACTAATCATCAGGTTGGGTCTTTAGCTTCACTTCTCACATTAATTGTAGGTCCGTGAGTAGAAGCCTAGCTCATTACCCAATACCTCATACATGCTCTACTAATACGTGATGTGTGAATGAGGTCAGGATTTTTGTCTTTAGTATATATTTTTATAAAAACAGCAAAAACTAAGTAGAAAGGCAATCACAGAACTTGATCACAAATAAAATATATAGAAAATAATGCCGTCTTATCTAAGTATTCAGACAATCGGGCATAATTTCAGGCCTCAATTGTCATTGTCATTGTTGAAAAGACCTATAAGTCATATTTATAACAGGAAGTGTCAATAAGGCACATGAGGAACTCAAACCTTGTTGACACTCACATCTGCTTAAAGCCATAGCTGATGTTTCCCTGAGGTGTCACTTGCTTTCTGATATGAAAGGACCCAGTCTCTCTATAAACAAATGCTTCTCTAGCAGTAGATTAGGATGAATGAATTCTATTTCTTAAATGTTCATAAGAAATCTCTATACAATTTGCTATTAATAAGATTAGATAAAATCTCCTAAAGCAACATTTTCCCCTCATTCTCAGTTGATGTTTCAGAAAAACCTTTGACAGAAAAATTTGAAAATAAAGATTTTTAGCAATAGAAGTGACATACTAAAATGTACTGATCCAAACTAAGAAGTCTTTGGAACAGGCCTGTGCACATTTGCTTACAGCCCACCAAATTCAGAATATTTAATCTGAAAGATAATTTAGAGACTATAGGACCATCTCTGCAATTTTACAAAGGCCCAGAGGCTCAGGTTGCTTAGCCAATTTGCCCAAGTCATAAGCTCATCAGGAACATCTCCTTGGAGATCATCCCAGATTCAAGACCACGTCACCTCTTTCATGCTCTAATACATCAGCCTCTTAACTCATGTGTCTGCTTCCATCCTCCATACACCTCCCCACCTTCCAGCAGATTTCCTCCCAGGGCCTCAAGATCTGGCAATGACACCTCTCCCCTTCAAGCCAGTTTCTAAACGGAGGAGGAAAGATTTAAACAGGGTCTGGAAGGATTTTGCAAAGCTGACAAAGGGGAAGGGTACTAAAAAGAAAAATATAAATAAATAAATAAAAGAAAGACACAGGGACAAAAGACGCAGAGACAAGATTAAAGGGAATTATTTGAGGAGCAGTGAGTGGTTTTACTCTAAGTGCATTCACGTTTAAATGAAAGTATGCTGAAAAAATGAGACACAAAGCTGATAGTGGAAGATATACGATCAAAGGAATGTCCGATGGTATCTGCTGGTGAAAGCTGCAGTCTAACTAGGGTGAGGGCTCATTACCTACCACAATATTAGCAAGGACCCAAGACTCTAACCACTCAAAGGGATGGTCTTGCAGCATTGCCATCAACTGAGACCTTAGAAATTCAGAACCTCCAGCCTCTTCCCCAACCTTGTGAAACAAAACCTTCATTTGTCACAGGTTCATCAGGGGATTTGTGTGCATAATACATTTGAATAGCACTGACTAAAAATGAGTTCTAAGAAAAGCTGATGAAAATTACATGATTGGCTTCAATATACTTGGGATGCTCTAACCCCCAGTAGTACTAACCCCAGTAGTACATTTCTTATAGCAGAAAGCTAATTGGTATCTAATTAGATAAAGTATGGATCAAAGTTTCCACATTTGGTAACTTCTGTAGTCAGGGAAGGTAAATTTGAGAATGTGTACCTTCCCAGATAGGCTATGTTGAAATTCTGTGGCTCTGAAAATAGCGTCAATTTTGACCGTCTGCATTCTCAAGCCTAGCAAAGGGCAGTTAGTTGGCAAGAAAGTGGTGTCTGGATGAAAACGGATGGAGAAGAGTCACTGGCACTTATTAAGGCTTTGTGTTGTAAGGCAAATGCTTCACATATGCATTCTCATTTAAACCTCACTTTACAAGATTGGAATCCAAGGCCTGAAGAAGATAATTGATTTTCTCATGTGTGATTATAGCAATAAGAATGATAATGATTTTGTGGCTAGCATTTATTGAGCACTTACTATAGTGGCCCCCTTTTATCCTCGACCCCCTGTGGATGCCAGAAACCACGAACAGTACTGAACCTGATTGCTGTCGTTCGAAATACATTTCTGTTCATGTCTTCCACCCACAAATGCAATGCCTTTTCCATCTTAATTAAGCCCTTATCATGCATTGTAGCCAAAACCTTTGCAGCTTGATGTGTGACAGCAAAATTAGCATGAATTTCTTTTGCCTTCTTCAGAATTTCACTTAGAAGATTCATTCTTACCATAGATCTTAGCAATGTCAGCATATAATTTTTTCTTTCCTTATTAAGTCCAGAAGTTTCACCTTTTCACTTAAAGGAAGCACTTTGCAGTTTCTCTTTGGCGGGTGCAAATTGACAGCATCACCACTCTTGCACTTTGGGGCCATTAAGTAAAACAAGGGTTACTTGGACACTAGCACAGTGCCACTGTGATGGTTGATCTGATAAGTGAAACAGCTACTAAGTGACTGGTGGGCTGGGAGCACGGATGGCGCGGATGTGCTGGACAAAGGGACAAAGCATAATGGTGTGAAATTTCATCACAGTATTCAGAACAGTACACAATTTAAAACTTATAAATTGTTTATGCCTGGAACTGTCCACTTAATATTTTTGGACTATGGTTGACCTTGGGGAACTAAAACCGTAAAGTGAAGCCATGGATAAGGAGGGACTACTTCGTGTGTTCAAATTATTGAGCTAAATATTTTTTGTAGCCATTATCTCATTTAATTTTCCCCACGATCCTGTGAGAAGTATTGTTGTCTTCATTTTATAACTCAAAATACATATTTACGCTTCATCATGGGCATGTCTGACTTGAAAGCCCACACTCTTTCCTCAACACCGGAATAACTCAATCACCACCCTTTTATTCATCTGCAATGTTCTGCAAATGATGTCAAAGAGATTCTGATTCTCTCATAAAGTCAAAAAAATGAATGAATGAAAGAAAAAGAAACTCTTTAAGGTGAAAAATTATACATCACAAGATTTCTGAGATTTACAAATGAGATTATTGAACTAACATTTTTTTAAATGTGCCCTTCAGCAAAGATGAAATACACATACTTCTGTTGATGCAATTGTCTTCAATGATTTATTAGGAGATAGATGGGTAACTAGATTTCCCTATCTATTCTGTCATTTAGAGTCCCACACAAATAAGCGCAGAAACATTTACAGGCAATTTAAAAGAATATTGACCACACATTTCCAAAATAAACTTCTAAACCGACTCTCACATCCACAGATAAAGTTTTCTACTGCCCCTGTCATACTACAACCGAATCCCTTGAATGGTCTGCACTCATTCAACACAGGTGCCTTTACTGGAGGGGAGGATCATCTACAGGAAGTATAGGGGTCTGGAGTCCTCACAGAGTTCTGAATGCAAAATTCCTCCCTTAAGATTCACATAGCCTCAGACGGTTTCTTTGATACTCTTTAAACCAGAATTTTCTACATCATAAAATCTTTGTGTTAGTTCAGAGGATTGTAGTAAACATTCAACACAATCACAAAATAAGGAACCTAGGGAGGCTGGGTGCGATGTTTACATCTGTAATCCCAACACTCTGGGAGCCAAGACAGGTGAATCATTTGAGCCCAGGATTTTGAGACCAGCCTGGGCAAAATGGCAAAGCCTTGTCCCTACCATAAAAACAAAACAAAAATAATCAAAAACCGAAAATTAGCTGGGCTTGGTGGTGCGTGCCTGTAGTCCCAGCTACTTAGGAGGCTGAGTGGGGCAGATGGTTGGAGCCCAGGAGATCAAAGCTTCAGTGAGCCGTGATCAGGCCACTGCACTCCAGCCTGGGTGACAGAGCGAGATCTTGTCTCAAAAAATTTAAAAAAAATAAAAATAAAGGGCCTGGTAAATAGTACTACTCCATGGGTTGTCCTGTTCTTCTACATTAACCCTGATATTTTATGTAGACACAATTTGAAAGATATATTTTTGTCTTGAAATCAATATATCTGAGTAAATATCATAAACTGATAAGGATATGCAAGGTTCTTGGCAGTTGCTGTAATTTTTAGTTTCTCAGTTTTAGTCCATTAAACCTGAGCTCACCAATTTGACCCCCTTGATCAGCATGTTTGTTTTCAAAAAAGTTAGATCATGCAGAGTAGCCTCAAGCTGATTTATAAAGTTTGAAATATTTCAAACCCTTTTGCACATTCATTTTCTGCTAATATCCACTCTCCCCTGACTTCCAGACATTTGCATTTATCCAAGATGCTACTCATTTGTGGCAACACACCAGGGCCTCCTCTCTCTGTCGTGAATGAGCTCTGTTTTCTCTCACTTTCCTAGCACCCAATCAAACATTCTTTAACTATATCTGATCTCACAAAAGTATTAGAGTAAAGGAATTTGGTTAAAAAACTCATACTACGCACCTCTAGTGGATTCAGCCCATTCTTTTACCTAGATGACTGCTGTTTTTCACATGCTATTTGAAACAAATTAAATGGGTAACTAATGGTGGAATTTTCCTACTTTTTTGGTAAGAGATGCTTTCCTCTCATTCCTAAAATGAAAACTGGTCAAAGCAGCTCACATACAAGAGACTTTGGTAATTTAAAGGAACCCGAAGAAAGCAAAGCATGGGATAGCAATGGATCATGTTGAGTGTTACATTGAATGTGTCTATTGGAACAGATATTCTGAATTTACCATCACATCACACAGACATTACAAGGAGAAAACAAATGCCACAGGGGCAAGTGAATATATCCATCCTCCAGAATATTCCTCTCCCAAGAAATTCTGCGTACTCTTCAAATAGTGTCTTGAAAGATAAGCCCTGTTTGCACCAGGTAAACAGGCTTTTTACCACTAATATGTCTATCACATTGGACTCTGCTGCCATTCTGTAGCCTGGCAAAAGGCAGCTGAAGATTACAATTTTCCATTTGCACAAAGTCCAAAATTATGAACTCTGTGGATACCAATGACACAATGATTAACCCTTACTTCTCCAATGCCACAGCTTGATGGCTGTAATTCATTGTTGGAGGGCTTGGCAATCTGCTACTGGCCTTAATGACACATTCCAGATGGAATGTGTCAGCTCATTTTTTGAAGACAGAAAGAAAAAGAAAGATGTTTTTCTAACACTATCTTGCCAACACATAAGGAAGCTGATGGAGTGACCACTTCAACTATAAGTTTTCATAGTTACTTCAGTCTTACGCTCTTAATTTCCAGTGCTTACTGATCCCGATACCATGGATAAATCTCTCCAGATTCCTGAGATTAAACATGGTGGTTGGACTGATATGGATACAGTGGTTTAAAATATGTACCTCCAGACAGTGGCCACATCTTCGAAGTGCAACTTTTCTCTAGCGGAACACACTAGTCTGCCTAATAGGCATGTTCCATCACATGCTCCTTTTCCCAGGACTCAGTCATTTGAAGTATCTTTGCTGCATTCACTATACCACTATTTCTCTATCTGAACACAATACTCATTTACTTTCATAACCTTGCCTTTGCCCTTTGATAAAGAAGAATTCAATTCTTTCCCACCTTCCAGCTCCCCAGATCTCTTCCCCTTAATTAGGCAGTCTTAGGATACTTCAGTTAACAGCCTTTCCAGCTCAATTGTGCCCCTAGCTCCTCTGTGCACCAGCTGTCCACCCACATCAAGTCAAAGGATTTGGATTCTGCTCAGGTCACCTTAAGGGAAGTGAAAATTCAAATTGGGAGACTCCTAGTCACATTTAGAAATGCCTCCTTCACTAGCATTTGAGACTGAACTCTTGCTTTAATATATCTTATTTGGTACTTTGCAGCTTGTTTGCTAATCTCCTATAACTTCCAAATATTATAATACAGAAAATAGACTTCATTAATACTATGTATGCCACTTTCATCATTTTTGTCATCATCAACAGCCAAATGTACTAACATTAATTAAGCACCTACTAAATGCTAGGCAATATCATTAACATGTAATATGCACACTCTCATTCCCTATAACATTCAGCACAGTAAATTACTGTAAAACAGAGTTCAATATTTGTTAAATGAATGAATGGTGCTAATGATTGGGATGCTTAAAAATAAAGCTAAGTCAATGTTAGTGGTTGAATATGTTTCCCTTTCTTGCCCGTAGGTAAAAATAATTGTTATAATAATCACCCTGGGGCTTGCTCATTTGTTAAAACCAAAAATCACAAGGGAAACTAAGAAATATCCTAACCAAATGTAAGATGTCTCTCACCTTCCGCAGAAAAGTAAAGATGTAGAAACCCAGAGCATTGCTAAAACATTTTGCTAATGTTAACTTGATTTTCAGATAGCTAGCAAATATAGTTTTTTAAATCACAAGTAATAGTCTAGAAGGCGATAGAGACAGAAAACCGAGAAATAAGATTCAAGCACAAGAGAGTCAGAAACCGGCTATAAATCCAAAGAGGAAGCAAAGAGAACCAAAGGCAGGAACCTTAAGAAAGACACTGAAGTCAAGGGACCTATCCAGACATGGCCAACATGACGAAGGGTGTATCATGGCGGGTCCAGCTCTTCTATTCTTGGACAGTGGACCTCCATGGAGCCAGGACCAAGGCAAGATAAAAAGTCAAAGGGATTCACAGAAACCACTCTTCCAGTTGAACTGTTGTTAGGGAATACGAGGAATACTTACATTGTAGGCAGTGAGTCTTGAAGTTGCCAGTGAAAAAGGCCGATGTTTCACTGCCCTTTTCACTATCCTCTTTGCTCAGTACCCTGCCTGGAGACACTGTCTGCTACAGTGTCTCACTTGGCTTCTTGAATTAGAAGGAACCCTAGAGACCTAGAGATTCTAGAGTTCACCATTGGGCCTGGTGCACGAATCCCCCATCAGTGTTGTCAACAAATGCTACATGGCTTCTGCCTGTATTTCTCAAAAGACCATCTCTTACATAATACTCCAGTTTCTAGAGAGATTTCCTTTACGTTAGACTGAAATGTCTTTTTTTTTTTTTTTTGAGACGGAATTTCGCTCTTGTCACCCAGGCTGGAGTGCAATGGCGCAATCTCACCTCACTGCAACCTCTGACTCCCCGGTTCAAGTGACTCTCCTGCCTCAGCCTCCTGAGTAGCTGGGATTACTGGTACAAGCCAACATGCCCAGCTAGTTTTTGTATTTTTAGTAGAGATGGGGTTTCACCGCATTGGCCAGGCTGGTTTGAACTCCTGACTTCGGTGATCCGCCCGCCTTGGCCTCTCAAAGTGCTAGGATTACAGGTGTGAGCCACCGCACCCAGCCTAGGGTAAAATCTCTTTACCTCTCTCATTTTCTAGACACCGGAGCTCTTCTCCAGATATACAGCCGCACCAATAAGTCTCAGCATCTTTTGTTAGAACTCTATCATGCTGATATACTCTGTTCTTGGAAATTATCTAGCCCCTGGCATATAGCAGGTACTCAATAAATTATTGGCAGACTGCTTGACTACATATTGTCTAAATAATCCTCTTCTATATCATTGAATTCCACTATCAGAATGACTGACATCCAATTATCCTATGAACCTTGAGTATCTCCCAGTCACCTGCAGAGCCTCTGTGTGACCTACCACTGTCTGCATTCCAACTGACTCCAGCCCAGCCAGTCCTTCTCTATATCCCAAGGGGTCCGAGATAAGGATGTAGGAGTGGGAAATGTGAGTAAAAATCAAGTTGATGTGAGATTACAAAATGCATTAAAAATTCCACACACAAAAAATCTGACCGTCTCTCTATAGCCCAGTGATTTTCCATTTATACACAGTAGCTTGCAGATGTTTCGAGAACTCTTCATTACTATGCTTCTAGTTTCTAAGGAATCTGGGATTTGTCTTTACAAGTGATTGTAGTTGCAACTGTAAAAATAAATTATAAAATTTTCTTTGAGGAGAGAAGTGGCTTCATACTCACGCTTTTTTCCTTTGGGGTGTTTCCTTGTAAACTTAATAAACCCCCAAACAAGATAGTCCTTTTGATTCAGTTTTCTGGCCTTCTTCCCCTTGGAACTGTAAACCTACAAATTAGCTCTGTGCTATCTCACAACTATAGAGCAGATGACAGGGCTCATCTATTTATCTCTCAAGGAGATAAGAGAAGTTTCTATTGTTCTTTCTTTGACTGCTGTATAGATTTGTGTAAGATTCTGTCCAGAGTTTATAGTTTCTTGTGTGCCACCTTATATACATGTCAACCTGGTAATGCTTTCTCAAAATTAAATTGTGTTTCCTTTATTCTTCTGTATTGGAACTGAAGAATCTTTTGTTGCAGGATTGTTTCATTTACCCAATACTATAACTTACTGTGTATATTTGGTCAGCCCCTAACTCTGTGGGTTTTGTGATGTTACAAATATCAGGGTACAAGGTACTGTGAGTAAGAGGAAAACAGTGTTACACTTTTTTTCAAGTAGGTTCTCAAAGACATTGCCTCAGGTATACAAAAGAGTATTGAAAAGGCAATAAATAGCAATACACTTCTAGAGGATAATACCTTGAACCATTTTAAGGGTATTTAAAAATATTTTAATGTAGTCATGATTATTTTACTAGTTACTGCACTGTAATTTCTTCTGACTTGTTTTTCTTAAAATTAATTCTTTCAACTGTACTAACAACAAAACCAGGTTGAGAATCTGTTGCCCTGAAGAAGACAGAGCCAGGTCAAATATGCAACTTCAGGAGGCCACATTCACAGTTTTGTTTACATTCATAAACTCCCCTAGAAGACAACTCCGATCTACCAATTGAGATCAGTTTGACAACATCACTAGCAGATGAGACAAAATGAAGTCAGAGAAGGCAAAAAACAGTTATTTATTGCAAGTAGAGAGTGGTGTTGAGGGAGTGGCAGTGAAGAGTTAAAGGAGAGAACAGATTCGAGGTACTTTGGGGGCAGACATGAGCAAACAAGGACATTTGATATAATGAACATGACAAAGAAGAAAGCAGTGATGGATGCTTCTGGAGTTTTGAATCTGAGTGACAGAAAAAAAACATTGTTTTCCAAATTATGAAATTGTATATGAGAGGTAGATTTAAGCACTGAGTAGGTGACTTTGGACATGACCCACCTGAAATGCCAGTGAGACATCCCAAAGGCACCTGGATAGTCAAGTATGGAGCAGGTCAAGAAGTGAGGGGTTTATTTGAAATGCAGCCATATTTAAAGTTATTTATAAACTTTAAAAGTTGTTGCAGCCACTGGGCCAAGTTAACTGAAAGATGTGGCCCAGAGAGAGCCATAGGAAACGTCCCATTTCTATGGCAGTGATGAAGAGCCATGAATTAGAGCAGGAAGCAGTAGCTGCAGGAGAATTAGAAGGACTAACATCTTCCAGAGTCCAGAGCAGGAAAGACTTTCAGAACAACAGTGTCGAACGCAATGGAGTAAAAATGAAGACTGATTGTAAAAAGGTTCATTTTCATTTCTAAATTTGTCCTGTTACTTCTCTTTTTAGATCTTAATTTTTCTAATTGCCTCTTTTCAGAGTTTTTCTAATTCTGGTATACATCTTTTTTTCATAGCTTCTTATTTTAGCTATTTTTAAAAAATATTAGGTTGTAGTTTTCATTTGTTTTGGGACTAGCTTTATGGCATAATTTCCTTGTCTGCATCATTCTGTTTTCATTCTCCTTCCCTGTAAGAATTTATAATAAGTTTGTATAAGAGTTGACCAAGATTTATTTTTACCCCTATTCCTCTCCTCTCTTCCTCCTCCTCCTCATCTTTCTCCTCTTTTCTTCTTTGGAGTTTCTTTGTACTTTTAGGAAAGAGGAAGGGTCAGGATAGTTTTCTAGCATTATGGCTCTAGGGCTCCCTCTCCTGTCATTTTTGCAAAATAATAAATGAGAAAATAATTTTAAAATTCACATTCACTGTGGTAATGCTGCTTTTGTTCCTCCTTTTCTTTGCCTCCCCCTCTCTCTCTCTTTACCACTTTATTTCCTTTGCTTCTATTGTAGCTATTTGATAAATTTTGGTTTTCTCTCAACAATTTCACATTGGTGCGGGGCTTTGTCTTGGATGGACATTCCATTTGATTAGTTTTGAGAGTCCACAGGGTCCAGAGGGCTGCAGCACTTTCAGACTTCGCTGCAGAGTCCTCGTTCTCTCCCATGAAATGGTTTGGCTGCTGCTCTATGGTGGACTTGACAGGCTTCCAATAGGAGCTGATTGACAATCTGGGGTACCAGTCGGCTTTCAGACTCTTATTTTAGTATTAAGTTCATGGAGATTTTGCAATATACTCTCTAATCTAGTTGTGTTTGTTTTAATGATAGAATAATGTTTTCAGTACTGAGTAAAATTGATACTTCAGGAGAATGCACCATATTCATGATCTCACATGAGCCTAAAAGTACACCCACAACACAGTTTGAGAAGCTCATAAGTCTGTCTTAGACATTTTATTATGATTGTGGGGACACTGAACAGACTTCAGTATGCAGTATTATTTAACTTGCCTTTGAGAACATACAAAAGTAAATATGAATCGATTGGTAAAGGAGAGGGATGAAACCACAGAGAGGAATAGAGTTAAAGGAACGACCTTCTTTTAGAATTGTTAAACAAGATTATGGGAGGCCATTGTTTCAGACTGAACTCCTGCACTAGGCCCTAAACGACCAGACCAAACCAAAATGGAGTCACTCATGCTAAATGCCACATAATTAAAATGAAAATTTAAGAAAGCAGATAGATCCCCAAACAAAACAATCTTTCCTGAAAACAAGAGATTCCAGTTTACCTCAGTAATCCTAATAAGGAAGTCTCTTCTGCTTTACCCCTTTAAAAAAAGTAACCTGAGGTAATATGATGCTTACTAGATTTCCATTTTTCTATTTCCTACTTTTCACCTTTCAAAACCCAGTGTTTTGCCCCTGCCCAGAAGAACACTTGTTCAGTTTTGTAGAATGAAGGCTGCCCTGATTCATGTATCACCTATAAAAGCCAATTAGATCTATAAAGAAATTTGTTGTAATGTTGTTTTTGACAGTCTCAAGAAGACATTAACATTTTTTAAAGCATGGGGAAGAATCAGGAGAGATGAGATGGAAAGACAACTGTTGAATAAAGAATATAATAGTAAGGAATAAAATCCAAATGAATAAAGCTTTTTAAAATAAAGACATTAGCTCTGTAACACATATCCTGTCATGAATGTGCACACATACACAAAAACTGTGGTCTTGATGATATGTTTCACACCTTGGTTGTGGTAACAGTATCACAAGTGTCCAGACTCATTAAGGTTATATACATTACATGTGTAACTTTTTAAAAAATGTCATTATACCTCTGTTATACCAATAAAGCTTTTTTATAAAAAATACTGCTTTCTCTTTTGTGATATCAAATTACCATCAATCATTTATTTGAAGATATCCAGTAATGGAAATCAATTATTCTGGATAGTACTCACTTAACATAGAGATCTTCATTTTACTTCTGTATTTTTATACGTGAGTTTTATATATTCCCTCTTTCTCAGTGACAGCATAGAGAAGAAATTGATTTCTGTCCACATGATGATTTGACTGAAGAAATGTGAACTTTTGGTGGGGAGAGAGGTTAGAGCTTAGTTTCCCTTTGTCTGTCACCAATATTACATTTGGGTGAGTGGCCACTATTTCATATGGGAGACATTCCTCCATTAGAGGATGTAAAGGTTGATGGAGGAAGAGAGTTAGAGTGTAGATCGATGGTAGCTGAGCTCCACTGACCCACTCTGGTAACAGAGCATTTTACTCTTCGATGTATTTAAAATTCATCTCTAAGCCCAAGATGAATTTTGTGACAATTGGAAGTTAAGCTTGAGGGCAACTTGGTTAGTTCTACCCAAGACCTGTTTGAGCTGCAGCCAAGCCCAGCTCTTAGGTACACAGCAGCATGGCAGTGCCTACAATTAACATGCTTTCTTCTGCTTATTAAGCATTGTTTTCAGTCACAAAGCATAAGCCTTTAGGGAGTAAACAGTGTAAACAAATGAGCAGATTAGGCTTTTATTAACCCAAAAGTCCCAAAATTGCACAGCTCGGCTGAATAAGCACCAGTTTATAGTAACTAATTAGAGAACATTTCAGGCCAAGGAATAAATTTTGGTTACATAAAAATTCTACTGGATCAATTAACACCAAAACCTTAAAGAAATATAAAGATTGCATCTCATACCAGACACAGAGGATGTTGGTTCCCTAGTCTGATACTAAAACTGATTCCAAAAGGTGATTTGTGGGAGAGAGAGGAGATTTAATTATGGATTTGTGAAGTTTGTTTTTCTTCCACCAAAAAAAATTGATGCCATTATGAATGAGATAGGATATTTAATTTATTATCTGAGGCACCTTCCTATGCTCCAAACATAGAACAATGAGACACAAAGAGAAAAATAGAAAATCAGAGAGATAATTGGGCTAAAATCAAGAAAACAAGTACACAGAATAGAATAGAAATAGAAAGTGTTGTTCACAGCTGAAGCAATAGTTCAGGCAGTTTGAGGGAATCAAAGCAGACAGTGGTAGCTAAAGGTTACACTATTACAGGTAAAAAAAATAAGTGAAAGAGAATTTGGTAGACCATATTATACTTTAATATAAAATATTAACCCTCTAGTGGGGCAGAATCTACTTTATTGTGGTATTAATGTTAGGCTTGGCCTCATGACTTGTTCGAGTCTATGGAATGTGAGCAAAAATGATATGATGCCTTGTGGAAGAAGCTTTAGAAGCCACTGATCAGTTTTCCCATATGCTTTTGATCCAGGAAGAGACAATCTCATCTATCTCAGTCACAGAATAAAAGTGATGATAAGACATAGCCACAGGACCCACAACAGACATTAAAGATTAGTGAGAAATGAAACTTCGTTGTTGTTTTTTAATGCCACAGAGATGTTAGGGTTATAAGCTATTGCAACATAACCTTATTCTGAATGACACCTGGATCTGAGAAGGCTTAAGTTTTAAATCTCCCCAGAATAAATAAGGGGGTAGAGAGATGTCACTGAACACTTTTCAGATTTCTAGTTCCTGGTAGCTGCAGGCCTAGGGAGATGACAGCCAGAGACTTAAAATGAGACAATAAGATGCTTCCTGACTGGGTGACCATATCTACCCTCTCCCTAATACTGTCTCAGCACAGATACGTCCAATTACATTATAGTGATTCATTATTTAATGTGAGCCAAGAAATGGTAGGGAGAAAAAAGTAAGCATAAACAGAGAGGAAAAGTAAAATGAAACACAACAAACTCCCACTCAAAAATGAGCCAGCAAATCCAAATTCCAAAATTCATGTGAAATTTAATGTTAAAATTACAACCATCACAAACAATACACAGAAGAATTACTCCAGATGGAATGATCAACATTTTAAAACTTACAGACGAATGTTTCAGGAGAGAAATTTTTTTTAAATCTTCATTTTCAAAAACCAAAATAAAAAACCCAAGAGATTGTTAAAAATAAAAAAAGAGAGAGAAGAAAACTCTGAGTTTATTGGTAGGATTAAAAAAACAAACAAACAAAAAACCTCTGTGGTGGCTTATGCCTGTAATCCCAGCACTTTGGGACGCCGAGGTGGGCGGATCACCTGAGGTTGGGAGTTCGGACCAGCCTAAACAACATGGAGAAACCCCATCTCTACTAAAAATACAAAAAATTAGCTGGGCGTTGTGGCACATGTCTAAAATCCCAGCTACTCAGGAGGCTGAGGCAGGAGAATGGCTTGAACTCAGGAGGTGGAGGTTGCGGTGAGCTGAGGGCATGCCATTGCACTCCAGCCTGGGCTACAAGAGCAAAACTCCGTCAAAAAAATAAATAAATAAATAAAAACCCTCAATTAAAATAAAAAAATAATTAAATCATCCTAAAAATTTCAAAAACTAGTCACAATATAGAAGAGTTTGTTAAACTGGAAGACAATATTTAAAATTTAACTCAGAATGCAGTAGCAAGACCAAGACAAAAAACATTGAAATAACACCTAATAGAGATGAAGAATAGATTAAAAGCTCCAACAGGAAACAAAATAAGACTCAAAGTCTTGAACAGAAGGAATAACAAAGACGTAATAATTGAAGATAAAACTGGTGAAAATTTTTCAGAATTAAAGATACAAATTAAAATTCCCTTTGAGTACCCAGCAGAATAATGAAAGATAAATTCACATAAATCTATGTTGTACTGAAATGCCAAAACTTTTAAGACCTATCAATGAAGAAGAGTACTTCCAGATGATAAAGTAAGTCCCTCCAAACATCTAATTACTTCCAGATGATAAAGTAAGTCCCTCCAAACATCTGTCTCTCCATAAAATCAATGAAAGATAGGTAACATTTGTAAAAAAAATCAACTTTTTTTAAGAACTCTAGAAATAAACCAAAGGCTTGTAACAATCTAAGGAGTGTTTATAGAAGAAAAAAGGCAGAACCTTGGTAAAAATGACAACAACAAAACCAGCAAGCTTTGTATCATTTTAAGCTCTATTTCCATCCCCCTTTCCCCAGCTCTGTGTGAACTTTAAAATTTAACAATCTAGCAGCCATAAAAGCAGTAAAAACTAGAAGTCCACTAAACACTGGAAGAGGTAGAGTTTGGAGATCTTCAGAAGTTCCAAACTGAAGAACTGTCACTTTTTTAAACTTTATCTGACCTGACTTAAAGCTCATTCAGGGAGGAAAGCCCTATCATAAGAGAGTTTGTTGAAGCAATCAGCAGCAATTGTTTAACGTGGCTGATGCCTGAGGCAGCAAAGCAAGTTGGGGCAAACAAGAAGCTTGTCAAAAAGCTTAAGATGAAAATATGGGGAATAATATTTCCTACTGGGCTTTGAAAATCTCTACATATTCCCAGGGATTCACAATGTTATACGCATGAACAGAGTTGTGCACAAGGGTAGGAAAGATCCCAGCAGGCCCTACTCTCTCACCTCTGTCTGATCTTGAATCCTGAAAAACCAAGAAGTGAAGGTAATTACAGAGTTGTAAACTGCTGGAGCACTGAAGGCTTGCCCCAGCACAAATGTGAATATTTGGCAAAGGAAGAGAGTTCTACTTGATGAAGATATTTAAGGCAATCTCTGTAGAAATCAGTGGACCACTAAGTTAATGGAAAAGAGATGTCAGTGGCTGCACATGATAAGGAATACAGACTTTACAGAATTATTCCAGGAAAGTTACCAAAAATGAAAAAAAAACCAAAAAAAAAACAGCAATAAACATCAGTAATCAAATAAGAGCTTTGGCAAGTGGAGGTGAATCTGATTTTCAGAGCTGTCACATTACGTTACTTAAATTGTTCAGCTTTCAATAAAAATTATGGGATACACAAAGAAACATAAAAGTAAACCCATGTGGGGGCAGGAAGGGGAAAAGGAAAGCACAGCAGTAAGTTAAAGTCTCTCCAAGGATGCCCATACATATATTGATGTTAATAAAAAAAAACTTTAAGTCAGTTAAACATACTTTAACGTATCATAATATGTTGAACAAACTACAGGACTTCATATCTAAATAATTAAATAAAATATGAGAATAATACCTTAAACAGAGAATATTAATAATTATATAGAAATTATTTTTAAAATAAATAAATAAAATGTGTCATTGAAATGGGCAATAATTGAAATAAGTTCACTAGAGGGGTTCAAAAACAGATTTAAGCAGGCAGAAGGAAAAAAACAGTGAATTTATGATAGCTAAATTGAGATTTTATGGTTTGAGAAACAGAAATAAAAAAAGATAAATAAAAGGGAACAAAGCCTCAAAAAGACTATGTGGTACCATCAATCACACTGACATATGCATAATGGAAGTCCTAGAAGGATGAGAAAGAAAATAAGGCAAAAAGAATACTTGAAGAAATTATGGCTGAAAATTCCCCAAATTTGTTAACAAATATTAATTCATACATCCAAGAGGCTCAATGACCTCCAAGTAAGATAAACTAAAAGACATAATAACTTAGACCCATCATAATTAAACTGTCAAAACACACATACAATGAGAGAATTGTAAAGGTATCGAAAAAAGGAGTCATCGCATATGATTTCCAACGAGATTAGTAGCAGGCTTCCTATTAGATACCATAGAAGCCACGATGTGGTGGGATGACATATTCAAACTGTTGAAAGAAAAAAACCAATAGCGAAACTGTCCTTCAAAACTGAAGGAGAAGTAAAGGTATGTCTATGAGAGAAATAAAGAGAATATTAATTAATAGCAGACCTGCCCTACAAGAAATACCAAAGGGTGTCCTTCAGGCTAAAATGAAGAAATAGAAAAAGCACTGGACAGTACCCTAAGTTCACATGAAGAAACAGGGTACCCATAAAGATAACTACATAAATAAATATTAGAGACAATACAGTTTGTAAGCCCCTTTCTTTCCCATTTGATTTAAAGGGCAGCTACATTAAGCAATACATAAAAACTTCATTGATTATATTATGATGCATAAAGTCATATGCATATGCTAATGATAACAGTGCAAAAGGAGGAGAAAATGGAACTATCCATGAGCAAAGATTGTCTCTACCACTGAAACTAAGTTGTTATCAATCCTAGATTGTTTTAAGTAAAAATGTTTATTGAATTCCTACATTGTTTTAAGTGAAAATGTTCATTGTAATCCACAGGGAAACCACTACAAAAATAAAATTTAAAATTACATCGTTAAAAAAAAAAGGGAATTAAAATGGTATTTTAATATATTCATTTAATACTAAGGAAGGCTGTGATAGAAGAATAGGGAGTAAAGAAAGACCCATAATGCCTGAAAACAAAGAGCAAAGAGGCAGAAGTAAATCCTGACTTGTCAACAATTACATTAAATGTAAATGTGTCAAACATTCCAATAAAAGGCAGATATTAGCAGAATGGACTTAAAAATGATCCAACTTTATGCTATCTACAAGAGATATACTTCAGATTCAGATTATATGTATCAAATATCTTGAAGGTAAAAGGATAGAAAAATGATATGCCATGCAAACATCAACCAAAATAGAGCTCAAGTAGCTCTACTAATATCAGGCAAAATAAACTTCAAATAATATAAAAAGAAGATACATAGAGTGAGATAAAATATTTGCAAATTTTATTTCTAATATGACACTTGTCCACTGAGTATATAAAGAACACTTACAACTTTAATAATAAAAATGTAAAGAACTCATTTAAAAATGGACACATTATTTGAATAGCTATTGCTCCATAGAAGATTTTAAAATGGTCATCAAACATATGAAAAGATGGTCAACATCATTAGACATTATTGGAATGCAAATTAAAACCCTAGTGAGATACCATTTCTTGAATATTATAATGACTAAAATAACAAGAAGACAAAAAGTGTTGGTAAGAATATGAAGAAAATTGAATTCTCATATATTTCTGGTGGAAATGTAAAATCTTCACAGTTCTTCAAAATGATAAACATGGAGTTGCCAGATGACCCAGCACTCTATTCCTTTTGAGTATATATATTCAAAATAAATAAAAACATAAACACATGAAAACTTGTACATGAATGTTCATAGCACAAATTTGAGAATGACCCAAATGTTTATAAACTGATAAATATGTAGCGTATACATACATTAGGATATTATTTTGCAATACAAAGAATAATATGTAATATGACATAGGTGAATATTTAATACGTTACCCTAAGTGAAATAAGCCAGGCACAAAAGACCACATAGGGTATGATTTAAAAAAAAAATTTTTTTTTTGAGACAGAGTATTAACATTTGATAAAGTTAGGCATTGGGCAAATATGCATGCTTCCAGTGAGGGTTAAATAAAATAACATATGTATATTTTTTAAGTTCCTGATTCAAACTCGGAGCTTAATATATCTTATTTTCTCCTTTGTCTTCTCAAAGGAGATAGTTTATTCTCTTTTCATTATTTTTTCTTCATTTTTTAATTTTTTTGAGACGGAGTCTCACTCTGTCACCCAGGCTGGCATGCAGTGGTGCAGTCTTGGCTCACTGCAACCTCCTCCTCCTGGGTTCAAGCGATTCTCCTGCCTCAGCCTCCCGAGTAGCTGGGACTACGGACATGCACCACCATGCCCAGGTAATTTTTGTATTTTTAGTAGAGATGGTGTTTCACCATGTTGGTGAGGCTAGTCTCGAACTCCTGACCTCAGGTGATCTGCCCACCTTGGCCTCCCAAAATGCTGGGATTACAGGCATGAGCCACAGCTCCGGTAGTTTCTTACCTTTATGTGATTCTATTTACCTGTATAAGATCTTAAAATACCATATAAGGCATAAATACAACATAGGATCAACCAAACCCTTCTGCTCCTGCTGAATAATTTGAGTTGCTCTACTTCTCAAAAAAGTAAACACCAATAACAATGCTAGATTCCCTAATTTCAACCTAAATGAAGCCAACAACACAATAAAATAAAATATATGAAGTACAGTTGCTTTTAATTGAGCAGCTTTCAAAATTTCTCTCACAGGAAATATTCTTAAAACTCATAAAGGAATTTCAAACTCTATTCTTTTTCATTTGATGAGTTAGTCTGTGCTTGTATGGCATAAGAAGGCCATTTGCCTGCAGCCTAGGTCTGTTATGCCTGGAGTAGCCTTTGATAAGTAAATGGAGACATAGCCAAGTGGTTCTCCCCACCATAGTAGCCTGCAAAAATTGGGCTCAGAATTCAAAACAACCAGTGATGTGGAATGGCCTTGACATTTGTATTTGACTTTTGACATTCAGATTTATTGGCACTCATTCTTCATTCCTACACACTGAAAAAAGAGCAGTAACAAACAAGGCCAGACAATGTCATGTGGACTCCAGGGATCTGCAAAATACCAATTTCTTAAGCTTGCAGAAGCAGCCTCAGCATGGATTTGAAGGCACAGATGGATAACGCCCATGGGGACGGGGATCTGTTCAGTTTCATTTTAACAGGTGGTATATCTCTTATACTTGCCTGTCTCCATGAAATACCTTTCTACTGCCTGAAATGCCTTCTTGAAACTAAGACCTGGAAAATTTCTACTCCTTTTTCAAGGTTCACCTACTACAAAGGCTCCTCCTTGTTTACCTAAACATTATAATTGTTCTTTTCTTCATGTACTTATAGCATGATATGATCGCCTAGAGTTTTTTAAAGTGGATCACTCAAGAGGCTCTTTGTTAGGTAATAAGGGTCAAGTTGTGATTAAGACACAATTCTTTTCTTGTAAGTTAGTGGGATACACAGCTAAAACCAGGCCACTGCAGTAGGGTATAATAAGTGTGATGGTGAAAGAAGTAAAGGAGGCTGTAAAATCAGTAGGGCATCACCTAGTTTTGAGTGTAAGAGAGAGTTGCAGAGCAAGTATTGAAATGAATGCAGAAGCATAAGAAACAATACAAGACATAGGTCATAGGTGTGTGTGCATGTGTCTAGAGGGAAAATGGCTGCATGTCTAGTCTGTTTTGTGCTGATAATAACAGAAAATTTGAGACTGGGTAATAAAGAACAGAGATTTATTTATTACAGTTCTGGAGGCTATAAAGTCGAAGGTCAAGGGGCCCACATACAGCGAGAGCCTTCTTGCTGCATCATACCGTAGTGGAAGGTGGAAGGGCAAGACAGCACAAACATGAGAGACAGAGGAGGGTGTCTGTTTATCAGAAACCCATTCCCATGACAACTAACCCACTCCTGCAATGATGGCATTAACCTACTCGTGAAAGCAGAGCCCTTATGACATAATCACTTTTTAAAGGTCCCCTTTCTCAACACCTTTGCATTTAGTGACACATTCAAACAATAGCATGCTGCCCCCTGGCTTGGAAAACATATGTCATTCTCACACACAAAATAAATTCTTTTTATCTCACCCTAGTCTTAACTGGTTCCAGCATCACCTCAAAAGTTCAAAATCCAGAGCCTCATCTAAATCAGATATGGGTCATACTCAAGGCGTGATTTATCTTCAGGCAAATTCCCCTCCATCTGTGAGCCTATGAAATCAAAAAAGTTACATGCTTCCAAAACACAATGGGGGGGCAGGCATAGGATATACATTCCCATTTTAAAAGAGAGAGAGAGAGGCACAAAAAGAGAAATCACAGGCCCCAAGTCAGTACTAAACCCAACAACAAAAACCATATCATGTCTTAAAACTAGACAATAATCTGTGTTGAGCTCTTGTCTCACATCTGGGCACAATGGGAAGGCAGTGGGACCCCACATCCTCATGAAGCCCTGTCCCTAGGGTTTTGTTTGGCTCAGTCCACCCAGCAGCACTAATGGGTTAGAGTCTTATGGCTGCAGCTCTCCCAGGATGCAGTTGCACATTGGTTGCTCTGTAGTTCTGGGGTCACAGGGTCTACTTCACTTCCATGGCTCCACTAAACATTATGAGAGTAAGGAGTTTATGTAGTGGCCTCACTCCTATGGCTCTGCTGGACATTTCCTCAGTGGAGGCTCTCCGGGGTGGCACCATCCCTGTGACAAGCCTCTGTCTTGGCTCACAGGTTCTTCGCAACATCCATTTAAATTTAGGAGTAGATCGCCATGGCCCTACAGCTGTTGCATTCTGCACACCTGAAATGCCTTAGGATCATTCTCCCATTGTCTTGACAAACAGAACCTGGTGTTTTTCTAGCCATATAAATCTCTTTAGCAAACACCTTTGTCACACTATTAATATTCTCTCTCAAACATGCTTTACTTGGCTAGGCTCTGAGAGTTTTCTAAATCTTTTCATTCTGTTTCCTTTTTAATTACAAATTCCATCTTTAATCATTTCTCTCTTCTCTCATTTTACTATAAGGAACCAAAAGAAGTCACGTAGCTCTGTAAACACTTTGCTGCTTAAAGATTTCTTCTGACAGATGTCCTAGTTCATCCCTCTAAAGTGTTGCCTTCCGCAAAGTCCAAGGACACAGACATAATTCCACCATATTCTTTGCAACTTTATAAAAAGAATGGTATTTACTCCATTTTTCAATACCCTATTCCTAATTTACAACTAAGACCTTGTCAGAGTAGCCTTTACTGTTTAAATTTCTACCAATACTCTGATCTCAACCACTTAAGTAACTCCTAAGAAAATGTAGGCTCTCGCTACAGTTCTTGTCTTTTTCTTTTTTCTTTTAATTTAATTTAATTTAATTTAATTTTTTTATTATTATTATACTTTAAGTTTTAGGGTACACGTGCACAATGTGCAGGTTAGTTACGTATGTATACATGTGCCATGCTGGTGTGCTGCACCCATTAACTCGTCATTTAGCATTAGGTATATCTCCTAATGCTATCCCTCCCCCTTCCCCCTACCCCACAACAGCCCCCAGAGTGTGATGTTCCCCTTCCTGTGTCCATGTGCTCTCATTGTTCAATTCCCATCTATGAGTGAGAACATGCGGTGTTTGGTTTTTTGTCCTTGCGATAGTTTACCGAGAATGATGATTTCCAATTTCATCCATGTCTCTACAAAGGACATGAACTCATCATTTTTATGGCTGCATAGTATTCCATGGTGTATATGTGCCACATTTTCTTAATCCAGTCTACCATTGTCGGACATTTGGGTTGGTTCCAAGTCTTTGCTATTGTGAATAGTGATGAAATGAACATACGTGTGCATGTGTCTTTATAGCAGCATGATTTATAGTCCTTTGGGTATATACCCAGTAATGGGATGGCTGGGTCAAATGGTATTTCCAGTTCTAGATCCCTGAGGAATCGCCACACTGACTTCCACAATGGTTGAACTAGTTTACAGTCCCACCAACAGTGTAAAAGTGTTCCTATTTCTCCATATCCTCTCCAGCACCTGTTGTTTCCTGACTTTTTAATGATTGCCATTCTAACTGGTGTGAGATGGTATCTCATTGTGGTTTTGATTTGCATTTCTCTGATGGCCAGTGATGATGAGCATTTTTTCATATGTCTTTTGGCTGCATAAATGTCTTCTTTTGAGAAGTGTCTGTTCATATCCTTTGCCCACTTTTTGATGGGGTTGTTTGTTTTTTTCTTGTAAATTTGAGTTCATTGTAGATTCTGGATATTAGCCTTTTGTCAGATGAGTAGGTTGCAAAAATTTTCTCCCATTTTGTAGGTTGCCTGTTCACTCTGATGGTAGTTTCTTTTGCTGTGCAGAAGCTCTTTAGTTTAATTAGATCCCATTTGTCAATTTTGGCTTTTGTTGCCATTGCTTTTGGTGTTTTAGACATGAAGTCCTTGCCCATGCCTATGTCCTGAATGGTAATGCCTAGGTTTTCTTCTAGGGTTTTTATGGTTTTAGGTCTAACGTTTAAGTCTTTAATCCATCTTGAATTCATTTTTGTATAAGGTGTAAGAAAGGGATCCAGTTTCAGCTTTCTACATATGGCTAGCCAGTTTTCCCAGCACCATTTATTAAATAGGGAATCCTTTCCCCATTGCTTGTTTTTCTCAGGTTTGTCAAAGATCAGATCGTTGTAGATACGCAGCATTATTTCTGAGGGCTCTGTTCTGTTCCATTGATCTATATCTCTGTTTTGGTACCAGTACCATGCTGTTTTGGTTACTGTAGCCTTGTAGTATAGTTTGAAGTCAGGTAGCGTGATGCCTCCAGCTTTGTTCTTTTGGCTTAGGATTGACTTGGCGATGCGGGCTCTTTTTTGGTTCCATATGAACTTTAAAGTGGTTTTTTCCAATTCTGTGAAGAAAGTCATTGGTAGCTTGATAGGGATGGCATTGAAGCTATAAATTACCTTGGGCAGTATGGCCATTTTCACGATATTGATTCTTCCTACCCACGAGCATGGAATGTTCTTCCATTTGTTTGTATCCTCTTTTACTTCATTGAGCAGTGGTTTGTAGTTCTCCTTGAAGAGGTCCTTCACGTCCCTTGTAAGTTGGATTCCTAGGTATTTTATTCTCTTTGAAGCAATTGTGAATGGGAGTTCACTCATGATTTGGCTCTCTGTTTGCCTGTTTTTGGTGTATAAGAATGCTTGTGATTTTTGTACATTGATTTTGTATCCTGAGACTTTGCTGAAGTTGCTTATCAGCTTAAGGAGATTTTGGGCTGAGACAATGGGGTTTTCTAGATATACAATCATGTCATCTGCAAACAGGGACAATTTGATTTCCTCTTTTCCTAATTGAATACCCTTTATTTCCTTCTCCTGCCTAATTGCCCTGGCCAGAACTTCCAACACTATGTTGAATAGGAGTGGTGAGAGAGGGCATCCCTGTCTTGTGCCAGTTTTCAAAGGGAATGCTTCCAGTTTTTGCCCATTCAGTATGATATTGGCTGTGGGTTTGTCATAGATAGCTCTTATTATTTTGAGATACGTCCCATCAACACCTAATTTATTGAGAGTTTTTAGCATGAAGCGTTGTTGAATTTTGTCAAAGGCCTTTTCTGTATCTATTGAGATAGTCGTGGTTTTTGTCATTGGTTCTGTTTATATGCTGGATTACATTTATTGATTTGCGTATATTGAACCAGCCTTGCATCCCAGGGATGAAGCCCACTTGATCATGGTGGGTAAGTTTTTTGATGTGCTGCTGGATTTGGTTTGCCAGTATTTCATTGAGGATTTTTGCATCAATGTTCATCAAGGATATTGGTCTAAAATTCTCTTTTTTGGTTTTGTCTCTGCCCGTCTTTGGTATCAGGATGATGCTGGCCTCACAAAATGAGTTACGGAGGATTCCCTCTTTTTCTATTGATCGGAATAGTTTCAGAAGGAATGGTACCAGTTCCTCCTTGTACCTCTGGTAGAATTCAGCTGTGAATCCATCTGGTCCTGGACTCTTTTTGGTTGGTAAGCTGTTGAAAGTTCTTGTCTTTTTCTAAGCCCTCACCAGAATTGCCCTTAACACTCCATTCATGATGATCTAGACTTTTTCTAGCTTGCTCATTCAAATTCTTCTAGCCCGTAGCCATTACCCAACTCCAAAGCTGTGTCCACATTTTCAGGTATTTGTTATAACAACAGTCTCGCTACTCAGTATCAGTTGTTGGTCTTAGTTTGTCTTTTGCTGAGGTAACAGAATACCTGAGACTAGGTATTCTGTTTATAAATATAAATAAATATTTATAAAGAACAAATATTTCTTACAGTTCTACAGGCTGGAAATTCCAAGGCCAAGGGACCTGCATCTGGTGAGGCCCTTCTTGCTACATTATTGCACAGCAAAAGGTTGAAGGGTGAGACAGCACATGCAGGAGAAAGAGGAACAAGGGAAGGGGCTGAGCTTACCCTTTTATTAGGATCCCAATCCTGTGAGAACTAACCTATCCCTTGATAACTGCATTAATCTATTTGTAAGGGCAGAGCCCTCATGACTTAATCATCTCTTTAAAAACCTCAACACTATTGCATTAAGGATTAAGTTACCAACACATGAATTTTGGGGATAAATTCAAACCATAGTACTGAAGAAGAATGGAGTTGGGTGTTTCAAGCAAAGAGAGTAGCATGACCATAGTCTTCAAGGTGGAAAAAGATGATACATCTAAAAATCTGAAAGTGCTTCTCAATGGTTTCTTGGGAGCACAAAAAGATACACTGGACGAGTGGAAAGTAGCAAAGCAAACAAGTAGAGATGAAGGCAGTACTTGTAAACCACTGTAATTACATTTGCAGGATTTTTTTTTTGGTCCTGATGGACCCATTTTCCCTTTCTTTAAATAACAGGAACTGAATTTTTACTTCCTTACGGCCCATGTGCTTCAGGAAATATTGACTACTACACACTCTTCAGGAAACAGGAGTAAGAAGATGCCTTCCCTGACCCCACCACATACTTAGAGTTCAAATATGGAGAAAGTTACCTCATGAAACCCATGACATTTAGCCTTCTTGCTTGGTGTGTAAGGGTGGGATGTGTTAGGGTCTACATATATTTTTCTTGCTTTGGGGTATGAACATGAATAAGCTGACCCCAAGAAAAATGTGGCAAATATTTTATAAACACTATGAGAGAGCCAATCAGAAAAAGCAGACTAGTGATGGATTCTGGTGATATGGTTTAAGCCTGGCATGAGGCCTCCCTTGAAGACTCTGAGCTTTACAGATATAAGCCAAGATAGAGGTTTCATTAATTATTATTTGGATTGTGGTTTCTGTTACATGTAGCACAGGGTCCTAATTGATAAGGTCAGATTAAGAAGTATTGATTTTACTTGAGAGTGATGGGAATTAACTGAATAATTTAAATTAGAGAGTAATAAGAACTTGAGCTATAGAAAGAAAGATACCCTTGAAAGGCAGTCTGGATGAGATGGCATAGACTCATCATTCCTTGTTCCTCTCCTCTACGTACAATTATAAACCTTAAAGATAACACAACAGACAACCATAGGAGGACTCTGAGATGTGGAAAGAGGAAGGTAGACTGGTTAAGGATTGCAAGATTGAAGGAAAACACTGTGCCTCAACATCTTCCAGTTCTTGCTCCAACTCCCACACCAGCACAAAGAGATACAGCATGGGCATCTTATAATTCCCAAATCAGTACGAAAAAGCAGCTCAGGCAGGACCCTTCCTCCCTTTATTGAAATGGAATCCTGCCTACAAGAGGCCAAGGGAAGTGCCTGGAAACTAAAGTTCCCCAACCTTTACAACTTACACCAGACACTGAGCAACCCATGATGCCTGAATGCTGAGGCAGGAATCAGGAAAGAACCCACAGAAAACAAGGGGCCAGGAAAAGTGCTCTTCCAGAGCCTAGCTAATGGAGATAACCCTGCCTGGGGAAGCACTTTTGGTCCTCACTGGTGGCACCAAGAAGGATTAGCAAAAGACCTAATAGAATCAGGCCAATTAAGCAGATAAAAATAGTATCTCAAAATTAAACTGTCATTAAAACTGTTGGCCAGAAAATTAGATCAGTATTTACATGGTTAAGCTAAACAGTGTAACTGCCTGTTGAAATAAAAGACTGAACTAGGATCCAGAGTCTCTCAACATACCAGCCAAAATGTACAAGATATAATAAAATAGCTCTTGTCATAGCAAGAGACAGGAAATCACAACTTGATTGACCAAAAAAAAAAAAAAAAAGAAAAGAAAAAAAAAAAGAGGCGCAATGCTGAGATGACAGAATGTTAGAATTATTTGTCAACAAAAGTTCTTCAACAAGCAAATACAAATATCCTCAACAGATGCTGGAGAGGATGTGGAGAAATAGGAACACTTTTACACTGTGGGTGGGAGTGTAAATTAGTTCAACCATTGTGGAAGACAGTGTGGTGATCCTCAAGGATCTAGTACTAGAAATACTATTTAACCCAGCAATCCCATTACTGGGTATATACCCAAAGGATTATAAATCATTCTATCATAAAGACACATGTACACATATGTTTATTGTGGCACTGTTAACAATAGCAAAGACTTGGAACCAACCCAAATGCCCATCAATGATAGACTGGATAAAGAAAATGTGGCACATATACGCCATGGAATACTATGCAGCCATAAGAAAGGATGAGTTCATGTCCTTTGCAGGAACATGGATGAAACTGGAAACCATCTTTCTCAGCAAACTAACGCAAGAACAGAAAACCAAACACCACATGTTCTCACTCATAAGTGGGAGTTGAACAATGAGAACACTTGGACACAGGGAGGAGAATATCACACCGGGGCCTGTCGGGGGGTGGGGGGCTAGGGGAGGGATAACATTAGGAGAAACACCTAATGTAGATGACTGTTGATGGGTGCAGCAAACCACCATGGCACATGTATACCTATGTAACAAACCTCCACCTTCTGCACATGTACCCCAGAACTTAAAGTATAATAAAAAAAAAGAATAGAAAATTTCAGTAACTAAAGAAATAGAAAACATGAATAAGGAAATTAAAATTTTGGAAATGAAATATATAATAATCATAATAAAACTTCCGGCAGGAACTTAGCAGAAAAAATATGTCACAAGGAATTAGCAAACTTGAAAATAGAACAATAGGAAGATAGAGTTTTTGAGACATCATCAAGATGTCTCACTAGAGGTGCCTAACTCTCATCCCTCTCCACCAAAACAGTTACCAAAACAACAAATGAATAACTATATTTTGGTCAGAGCAACTAAAGGAAAGCACTGAAGTAGAGTAGGTCCGTGAAGAGCCCCTGTGGATCACAGAAACTCAGAAGGGCTGCATAGAGATAAGACGAGAAAGCCTTGACTCTGCCACTCATGCCCCCAGCTAAAATCAGCTCAGAAACAGGAAGTATTTCTGCCATGATGGAAACAGGAAGGAGGAGGCCCCTAGCAACCTTCATCACCACAGTGGATACCTATAATCTTTGTTACTGAAAAACCCTGCAGTGTTCACAGGTTCTAAGCCCAGCTTAGGGTGTTTCCTGGAGTTCACATGGCTGCACTACTCTAAAAGATCTCACATTGCACCCCACCCCCTGTGGTCCGTGCTGCTACTGTGCATCACAATCTTGAAACCGGAGCCCTTGATAGAGTATGCCCTGCCCCAGGAACAAGTAGCCACTGCATTCTTTCATCCCTGAGACTCTACTACCATTACACCACATTCTCGTACAGGGAAAAGTACCAGACCCCAGTTAAACTGCTGCAGCTCCTTCTCCTTGGGAAACATTGCCTAGGAGAGAATCCCTCCCCCGCATCCCAGTCACTGCTGAGCTCCACCCCTGTCTACACAGAGCCTAGGCTCAGGAGAGCAGCTACTCCCCCAGCAACTGAACCAACCAGCTGCCCCACTCCTCGGAAATTTAGCCTTTGACCCCACAGAGCAGTGTAACCTCAGTGCCTGAGCCCATGTGGTGCCCTGCCACCAAAGGACCAGACACTCCTGCCCAGCCAAGAAGCCATACTTGAGCCAGAAAGCAGCCACAGCCCCTCAGTACCTAAATCAATTGATATGATTTGGTTGTGTCCCCACCCAAAATCTCATCTTGAATTGTAATCCTCATGTGTCAAGGGAGGGACAAGGTGGAGGTAATTGGATCGTAGGGGCGGTTCCCCCATGCTTTTTTCATGATAATGAGTGAGTTTGTGAGGCCTGATGGTTTTATAAGCTTCTGGCATTTTGCCTGCTTGCACTCACTCCATCCTGCCACCCTGTGAAGAAGGTGTCTGCTTCTCCTCTGCCTTCTGCCATGATTGTAAGTTTCCTGAGGCCTCCCCAGCAATGCAGAACTGTAAGTCAATTAAACCTCTTTCCTTTATAAATTACCCAGTCCTAGGGATTTCTTCATAGCAGTTTGAGAATGGACTAGTACACCAACCCAGTGTCCTGTCCCTCAGGAATTTGAGCTTTAGTCCAGAGGATCAGTCACAATTCCATCATCCAAGCCCATGCAGCACTCAGTCCCTAAGAATCATGTGCTCCCACCCAGCAGAGACACTGTTGCCAAGCTGGAAGAACAGCAATACCCGCTCAGTGCCTGAAGCAATCTAATGCTTGGACCCCAGTCCAGCAGAGCAGCTGTATTCCCTGGAACAGGAGTTAACAGGCACCCTTCCCCCCAGGGAAAAAGAGCCTTGGCTGAGCTGGGTTACCTTGTCCTCTGGGCTGAAGAGCTTCAGCACCTTGCTTCCCTGAATCTGTACAAGCCTTTTGGAATCTGAACTGCTGAGGCATCTCACCTCCATGGGCAATGAAGATACCTTTGTATTGCCCCCTACTCCCCGGAGTCCAAGCTACAGCCGTGCCCCAACATTCCTGGGTTATTGCTGCTGATGCAGCCAACCTTGCAGGGCTTTGGCCACGGCTATGTCCTAGCACTCCAGGGTCCGGAGCCACCACTACACAGTACCCCCTCTCTCAGTGCTCAAAATGTCTCTGTCCTCCACTGCTTCCAGGATCTAAATTGCAGCTATGGCTGGATCCATAAGTACTAAGCCTGTAGAACACCAATTCTTCCCTAGAGCTATGTCAGTATTACACCTTGATCCCCAGGACCAGAGTCACAACTACCTCCCTGTTCTCTTGGTTTCAAGCTACTGAGGAGTGCCTAAGAGTCACCACCCTAGCTTAGTGGGACTGCAGCACCCACCTGCACCTCAGAGAATGAACCTGCATCAATGTCACAGGTGTTATAGTAATGAAACAAGACATTGAGCCCAGGCCCTCAGCTCTACAGCCACTCTGAGTACCTGTGTCTTGTAGTACAGCACCACTATGGCTGCCTATGGGACATGTCAAACCAGACAGCAAGAGGGATCCCCTCAGCTGAGTCTCTCTACTGTGGGTAAACATAAACAGGAAGACCCCTAAAGCCCTTATCACCAAGAACCATACAACTTACCCTGCCACTACGCTGCCACAAACTCCTACAGTGTAGACCACTGAGGCAACTGCAGTTATCAATAATGTTGATCACAGCTGAAGAAGATACACAAAGGCTACACCACTGCACTCACACAGAACTGGAGGCAATGGACCCTGTCCAAATGACACCCTAAGACCCATCTGCAAATGAAAGTTTTTTCCTACAAAAAACAATCTATAAAATTAAAAGTAGTTACTGTTCCTCTAGATGCACAGATATCAACACAGGGACACAAGAAACATGAAAAAGCAAGGGAACATGACACCACCAAAGAAACACAACAGTTCCTCAGTAGCTAACCCCATATAAATGAAAATTACAAATTGCCTGAAGATGAATACATAATCATATAAAGGGAATTCATGATATACAAGAGGATACAGATAGACAATTCAGTAAGATCAAGAAAATAATTCATAATCTGATTGTGAAATTTAAGAAAGAGATAGATATAAGAAAGGACCAAACAGAAATACGCGAGTTGAAGAAGGTGGTGAATGAAATAAGAAGTACATGTAAGAGTCAACAGCAGACTAGATCAAGCAGCAAAAAGTCTGTCTGAACTTGAAAACAGATCTTTTAAAATAACCCGGAGAGAAAAAAAATGAAAAAGAGTGAAGAAAAAGAAAGTCTATGGGACTTATTAAACACCATTAAGTGAATAAATATTCAGATTATGAGAGTTTCAGAGGGTAAAGAGATGGAAAAAGGCACATAAAGCTTATTTGACAAAATAATAGCTAAAGACTTCCCAAGTTGGGTGAGAGATATGAACATACAGATCCATGAAGCTCAAAAGTCTTCAAGCATATTCTACCAAAGGGGTGCTCACTGAGGCATATTATAATCAAAATGTCAAAAGTCAAAGACAAAGAGAAAATTGGAAAATCAGCAAGAGGAAAATGTCAAGTGACATAAAAGGGAATCCCCATCAGATCATCAGTGATTTCTCAGCAGAAATATCACAGGTCAGAAAAGAATGAGATAAGATAGTCAAAGTGCTGAAAGAAGAAAACTGCCAACCTAAAATGGTATAGCCAATAAAGCTGTTCTTCAAAAATGAAGGAGAAACAAATTATTTCAGATATGCAAAATGTCAGAAGATGTATCACCAATAGAACTGCCTTACAAAAAATGTTTAGCTTTTCAATTGGAAATAAAAGGATTATAATTACTATAATGGAAATATATAAAAGTATAAAACTCACTGATAGAAATAAATTTATAGTAAAATTCAGAATATTCCATTACTGCAATGACAATGTGTAAATATTTCAAGTGTCTACTATGAAGGTTAAAAGTCAAAATGGTCACAATTATAGCTACAATAAGCTATTAAGAAATATATGATAAAAAGATGTAAATTGTGACAACAAAAGTATAAATTGTAGGGGAGTGGGTAACACTAAAGCACCTAAACACATAAAGCCAATATTAATGAACATAAAATAATAAATAGATAACAATACAATAATAGTAGGGAACTTCAATACCTCACTTTCAACAGTATAATAATACTAGTGGATGCCAATACCTCACTATTAATAATAGATCAGCCAGTTAGAAAATCAATGAGAAAATATAGAACTTGAAATGCAATTTTGACCAAATTGACCTAATAGACATGTATAAAAGTTTCCATACAACAACAGCAGAATATACATTCTTCTCTTGTGCACATGGAACATTCCCCAGAATGCACCATATATGCCACAAAACAAGTATTAAAAAATTTGAGTAGATAGAAATCATATCTAGTATTATTTTGAACTATAAGTATATGAAACTAGATATCAATAACAGAAGGAATCTTGGTAAATTCACAAATATAAAGAATTTAAACAACATGCTCATGAACAACCAATTGGTCAAAGAACAAATCAAAAGAGAATTTAACAAAAAATTATTGAGTCAAATGACAATAGAAACACAACATATAAAAACCTATGGGATATAGCAAAAGCAGTTCTAGAGGAATCTTTATAGCAAGAAATGCCTACTTAAAAAAAAAAAAAAGATCCCAAATATATAGCCCTATATTATGCCTCTAGGAACCAGTGAAGAAGCGAAACTAAACCCAAATTTATCAGAAGAAATGAAATAATAGGCTGGGCACGGTGGCTCACACCTATAATCCCAGCACTTTGAGAGGCTGAGGCAGCAGATCACTTGAGGTCAGGAGTTCAAGACCAGCCTGGCCAACATGGCAAAACTCTGTCTCTACTAAAAATACAAAAATTAGCCTGGCATGGTGGCAAGCACCTATAATCCCAGCTACTCAGGAGGCTGAGGCATGCACAAGAATCGCTTGAAACCAGGAGGCAGAGGTTGCAGTGAGCTGAGATCATGCCACATTAACAGCCTGGACGACAGAGTAAGACTCCATCTCAAAAAAAAAAAAAAAAAAAAAGAAAAAAGAAAAAGGAAAATAAAACTGGGGAATAAAAAGGATCAGAACATAAATCAAATAGAGAACAGAAAAATAAAACAAAAAAATCAATAAAACCAAGAGTTGTTTCTTTGAAAAAGTAAACAAAATCAAAAAACATCTAACTAGACTAAGAAAAAAAGAGTGAAGACTCAAGTACATAAAATAGAAATGAAAGTGAAGACCTTATAACAGATGCCTCAGAAATAAAAAAGAAGGATCATAATCGGCTATTGTGAACAATTATATGTTAACATATTGATAACCTAGAGGAAATGAACAAATTTCTAGAAAAAAAATACAGCCTACCAAGATTGAATCAACACAAAATAGGAAGCTTAAACAAACCAATAATACAATAAAGAGGTTGAAGAAGACATTAAAAACTTTTAAACAAAGAAAAGCCTAGAGCCAGATTACTTCATGGTTGAATTCTGCCAAATATTCAAATAATTATTGCCAATCCTTCTCAAACTCTTTCCCAAAATAATGGGATGTTCCAAAAACATCTTACAAGGCTAGAATTACCTTTCTACTTAAGCTAGAGAAAGATCCCACAGGAAAAGAAAACTGGAAGTCAATATGTCTAATGAACATTAGTGTAAAAATACTCAATAAAACACTAGCAAAACTAATTCAGCAACACAGCAAAAAAATTATGTCTAATGAACATTAATGTAACAATACTCAATGAAACACTAGCAAAACTAATTTAGCAACACGTCAAAAAAATTATACATGATGACCAAGTGTGATATATCCCTGGCATGCAAAGCCAGTTTAATATATGCAAATCAGTCACTGTGATATATCACATTAACAGAATGAAAAATAAAAGCATGATCAGCTCAACAGCTGCAGAAAAAAAGTGTCACAAAGTTCAGTATCTTTTCTTGATAAAAACACATAACAGTTTTGGTACAGAAGAAAAGTTTCTCCATATAATAAAAGCTATTAATGAAAATCTCACAGCTAACATTATAATCAATAGGGAACAACTGTAAACTTTTCTATCAAGATCTGGTACAAGGCAGAGATGCCCACTCTTGCCACTTCTATTCAACATAGTACTGGAAGTGCTAGCAAGAGATATAAGATAAGAAAATTAATTAATTGATAATAATGATGATAAAATAATAACAATAAGCATCCAAATTGGAAAGGAAAAAGTAAATTTCAAGCTACAAAAACAAAAATAAATAAATGGATCTATATTAAACTAAAAATCTTCTACACAGCAAATGAAACAATCAACAAAATGAAAAGGCAATCTACAAATGTGGAAAAAATATTTGCAAGCTATATATCTGATAAGGGATTAATATCCAAAATTTATTAAGATCATTTACAACCCGATAGCTGAAAATCAAATGACCCAAGGAAAAAAGGGACAAAGGACCTAAACAGACATTTCTCCAAAGAAGACATAACAATGCCCAACATTTCATTTTGGCCTCATTTTCATTTATTATCAAGGAAATGCAAATTAAAATCACTAGGATATAATCACATCACACCTGGTAGAATGGCTATGACCTAAAAGACAAGCAATAAGTGTTGGCAAGGTGAACCCAGTTGGAAAGTGAACCCAGTGCACAGTTGGCGGGAATGTAGATTAGTATAGCCATTATCAAAAACAGTATGGAGGTTACTAAAGAAATTAAAAACAGAACAACCATATGACTCAGCAATCTCATTTCCAGGTATATACATAAAGGAGATGAAATTGCCACCTCACAAAGATATCTTCACTCCATGTTCACTGTAACATTATTCATAATAGCCAAGATACGGAAACAGGCTCTGCAGGGTGGCTCATGATCATAATCCCAGAACTTCAGGAAGCTGAGGTAAAAGGATCACTTGAGCCTAGGAGTTCAAGACCATCCTGAGCAACATAGGGAGATCTTGTCTCTACAAAAAATAAAAAATTAGTTGGTCACGGTGGCACATGTTTGTTCCCCCACCTACTTGGGAGGCTGAGGTCAGAGTGTTGCTTGAGCCCAGGAGGTCGAGGCTGCAATGAACTATGATCACATCAGTATATTCCAGCCTGGGTGATAGAGTGAGACCATCTCAAAAAAAAAAAAAAAAAAAAAGATATGGAAGCAAACTGGAAACCATGGGTAATACTTTAAAAGGAAGACGTTGCCATTTGTTACGACATGGATGACCCCAGAAGACCTTATGTTAAGTGAAATAAGCCAAACACAGACAGAAAACATATTGCATGATCTCAATTATATGTGGAATATTTGGAAAAAAAAGATGACAAATATACAGAGATATAGAATAAAACAGTGGTTATTAAGGGCACAAGGGAGTGGGGAAAGGGGAGATACAGGAAAGGACACAAAGTGACAGATATATAGGATTAAGCAAGTCTAGAGATCTAATGTGCAACATGACAACTATGATTAATAAAATTGTATTGTACTAAGAATTCTCATTAAATGAGTAGATTATGAATGAATGAATGAATGAATGAATGAATGAATGAAAAGTAACTATATGTTTTCTGACTCCTAGAAGCAGATAAACAGAGTAACTATGTTAGATGATAGATCTGCTAATCTGTTTCACTAGAGTAACCATTTTACCCTCTGTATGTATCCCATAACATCACGTTATAAACCTCAAATATGCATAATAAAATTTATGTTAAAAAAGAATAAAATTAGCTTACCTCAAAATTTGAAAAAAAGTAGACATCAAAAGTTAATTCAACAAAAGAGAAAGGCAAAGAAGTTGGCTGGGAGACAATATTCATAATCCCATGTGGAAGGATGGTAGAGTTTAAACTGAGATGACAATGAAGAAGGAAATAGATTTTGAAGTACTTTTAGATGAAGAATAAATAAAGCACAAAGATTTGTTTGAATATGAGTGTTAAGTAAGAGGGAGAAATCAAAGGTAAATCCAAAATTGATTTAGACAACAGAGTGAATGTTGATATAAATGTCAAAGGAAACAGAATTGGGAGGAAAAAAAAATAATGAGCTCACTTTTATTGTTTGTTTGCTTGAAGTGCTATTGAGATGGACAATTTGATGTCAGCCACTAATGTTATAACATAGTGATTCATCAATTCTTCATTGAATGAGGAATAGCTCATCCAGGACTTAGCACTGATTAAGTATTAATAATTTTGGTAAGTGTTGAATGAATAATTAAGTGAATAAGTTTATTTTCCTCTAAGCAGTAAGAATGTTTTTCCCTCTGCGGCAACCAGCTTGGTAGACAAACTTACATGGAATAAGAACAGATTGCCACACTTCTGAAGATCAGCCAGACTGCTGGGGGCATCACGAGTCCACAGTAAATGAGCCTGACTATAACTGTGGGATGCCTTTCCATACACCAGAATGGAACCCTTGTCAGCAACTATAGTACCTATGATTTACATCCCAACATAGGTGGTTATAGAATAAAATACTGGCTTTATTTTATGTCTTCTTTTAAATTTTTAATCACTTGAAAACATTTCATTTTTTAACGTTAAAAAGAATACTTCATTCATATGACTCGATTAGATCATTGAAGTTGATCAGTTCATTAAGAGCATGTCAAATTTTATCTCATATTATTTCTAATTTTTCCAAGATTAGTAACTTGTTTAAGAAGGAAGGTGATAAAAGTATAACAAATTTATACCAGAATGTTAATCTGCCTGGCACCCTTTGCTTCATCCTAACTCACCCTAGCTGGTTGTACTGAGACACTTGCATGATCTTTCATTACCATCCAGGAGCCAGAGATAAATCCTTGGATCATTAATTCAAAAAGCTTTGTCCCACAAATCTGCACATTATTACTACTTTTGCTAAACCAACTCTCAGGGAGTTCATGCCAGAGGCTCACTTGATACCTTTAGGATGCAGCTGCCTGTTTATTTTTTCTCTTCATTCTGATAAATGTCCCCAGGGGAGACCCGAATTCCATTTTTCCCTAGAGCTCCTGAGTATTCTGTTCCTTGTCCAAGACACCCAAAATAGAGTTCCATTTTTTGCTCCACTTAGCTCCAAGGAGGACAATGAGTTTCCTGCCAGCCCTTATCTCCAATCTCAGCCTACATTTCTATCATATCTACTATGCCCTTCTGAGGTTATGGTCTACCCTGGTGTCCATTCTGATGCTGCTTAACCTGGAATATGTTTAAATTGCCAAAACACCTCCTAGTGTTTGTTTCTTTCCTCCTCTGATCTGAGGGCTTTTCTGTTTTTCTCAGGACTCTCTGCTTCTACAATGTCTGTCAGCCATGGCAGAGAAGCCCAAGCCACCTCCTGAGGGAGACATATTCTGGTACAAACTAGGATGTCCGTTTGTGTTGACGGTTTTAGAAAATCGTCGTATTAGGAATTTGCAAAATAATGTGTTTCCAAGAATAGAGCTGTGAGTAAGAACGTGACTTTGTTCACAACAGGGTTTTGGAAAGAGGGGTCTTCACCAGGAATAGTGTCTTGTAAACTCTGCTAAGATTCTTGATATACCCACCCATTTTACTAAAGTACTTGAATAGAAAATAATGGAAAGTTTTGAAATGCCTTTCTAAATTATTATAATCATTAAAATGTAAGCCTTTCACTTTTATAATTTATTGTAGTTGAAATACTATGCATAGTCATGCTGCTATTTCATTTTCATATTTAAAAAACAGAATGGAGAGTAAGAGTACATGTAAAAACTAAATAAATAAGAATAATATAATGACTCATTTTTATTCTATTCATTAAAGGTGTGGAGTTCATGGTTGCTTTATATACACTTATATCCCACACTAAGTACAGAATATTTCTACTTTAATAACATTATGATTGGCTAAGTTACAGACTCAGGATTCAATCCTTACAGAAATGAGGGCTGGGTCTGCATCACGTCCTAAATTGGCAAGTTTATTAATATCAAGCAAAGCAACTTGTTCATCAATGAAATCTTGCAGGTCTTAAACACTGTATTAGGTATACATGTCTGAGCGTGTACACAAAAAATGTTATATTTGGTTATATTTATACAATTTAGATAGAGAAAAAAAGATATGTAGGAAGAATTACATAAATCCACACTTAGGAGAAAAGAAAGGCTTGATTTTTTGACTTGTGCTAGTAATTTTTAGACTTCTGATTTTTCACAGCTGAGGTTTAAAATTTAGTCTTCTAATCCTAGTCTATTGCTTTCTACTTCACTGTGCAGAATAGTTATTTGTTAAAATCAGCAATCTGAATCACACATATCCTAAACACATATCACAGTGATAAGAACTGCTTTACTCTTAAATTATACTTGAGAAATATATCTCAAAATATTTTTTTAATATTGAAATTATGTTATTAATTTTCCTAAATTCAAGTAATTAAAGTTATTTAAAATCGACAGTCATAATTCAGCCCAGAATCCATTAAAATACAAATTTTCAATTTAAGGTAAATGATTAAACTCTTGAAGGTATATTTTCTCAAGATATCAGTCAATATTTGCAGGAACTATGGAAACATTTAGAATATGTAAGTACAACTCAGCCTTTGAACTGGTGCTTCAGGTATTCTAGGGTGGTAAAAAGAATAGAAGTCACATGAGAATTATGTAATATCCTAGTTGTTATGTACTAAAAGTTAAAATGACTTCTAATGGCAAAAACATATAGGTTGGTAATGATAACCATATTTCACAAACTATTTATTTCCATTTTCTTTATGGGTTAAAATGTTACAAATAATCTAGTACAATTTGGAGCCTTTCATCTGTAGTCGTCAAAGACTGACAAAGATGATGATAAAACTACTGACAATTTTGACTGTTAGAATCTCAGTTTTATTAGTAATTGCTTCTTAAAGCGTATAGAATCTTAAATACATAGAAAGAGAACACATATAACATTTCTTTTTGTTCAAAAATCAAATTGCTTGAGGGTTGAGTTTAAATTTGGGAACAAACTTGAACGTCAGAAATGTAGGTACACACACAAAAAAGCTATTTCCTAGACTGTGACATGGATTTTCTGTCAAAAGCCTTGTCTTTGCATTAAACAACTTAAGAAGCTAGAAAATCTATCTTAATCAGATGAAAGAGATAAAATTAAATTACTTAAAATAAAGTGAGATATTTTATATCATTAAAATAGTTAATAACATGAATTGCTATCAGTGAAAGAAAAATGTTTTATATACTGCATACAGAAAGCCAGAAGATGAGACAAATATTTTATCTGTTTTCTTGAAGAGATGAAAATCTCTACAATTACTTGGTGCTAGGTGGGTTATTAACATGGAAATTAAAATTTCTTGGGGTAACTTCTAGCCTAAGGATGAGGGATTAACCACATGCATCTATTTTCTTTCCTTCATGGGAACCAAATAAATGTAAGTATAAAAAAATAGGTCACTACGACAAACAAGAGGTTGATAAAGAACCATCAGGGTATAAAAAGTTTCTATAAACTCTTGAAGGCCACATGTCCATGGAAGAGTGGTAACTATTGAACTGGGATGGAGAAAAATGCAGTGTGGGACACAACTGAGAAGTGAGACAGCTCTCCTAGTAAAACCACAGAGAAGTCTGAGACTAAAAACGTGCCTAGTACACGTGAAAGTGAAAGAAAGACATGGAACTGAACACATGAAGTGGGGAGGGGGACAGATACAATACGTACTCCTAGACACATTTCTCCTACTCTTGACTTGCAACAGTCAGTGGTCAGGCATCCGCCTTTAGAAAGGAGCCTGGAAGGCCATCTGTTGAGAGAGTGTGACTCCAGTGACATTCTGGTATCTGGGGGCCTCCAAAATGACACCAGCTCCAAGTCAAGCATCTTAAAATGAAGGCCTGCTCCAAGGTGAGGAGCACTATGGACATACGCAGAGTTCTCAAAGAACTCCTCATACTTTACTCTTAAACATGAACAGAGGATGAGAGAGAGAGAGAGAGAGAGAGAGAACAGAGATAATTCATAGAAAATAAGAAAATATTATATTACCAACAGTAATATCCTTAGAGACATTCAAAAAAAGTATTTCACCTGTAAAATGTAATGGAAATTCCTGAGGAAAGGAGACATCTGATATCTTGGAATTTACAGTGTTATAGTTAAGATAAAAAGAATAAATAAAAGACTAGGAATATATGAACATTTCTCAATAAATAAAAGAAATGGACAAAGACTGGGAAAAGGTAAGATAATAAGATTAAGAAAACCAATCCAGGAGATCCAATAGCCAACCAAGAGAAATTTAAGAATGAGAAAACAGAAAAGAAAAAATAAAATGTAGAGATGAAAACTATCCAGACCATAATAAAGTGTATTTAATAGAGCAGATGAACAGGAATCTCTAGATTAAAAGAACCCGTGAAGAAAAATGCTAAAAGATCCTGGTAGTGTGAGCATAGAATAAAGACATTTTTCAGACACTCTAGAAATACTCAGGGAATATATGGTCCTTATTTAGCCAAAGGAGGAAAAACAAAATTAAAAACAGGAAAGCAAGAAAATCCAAAAATGAAGTACGCAACCCAGGCAAACAGTGCAGATAAATCCCAAGAAGACATGCAGGCAGCAGATTGAGAAGGTATCTGTTTGTGTGATAGATGGGTGCTCCAGGAGACAAGGTGAAATAACTGGTCACTGTGAGTATTGGAGGGAGAGAATTAATAGAGTTGCTAGCTGGACCAACAATCCAAGAAGCTATACTGAAAGGAAATATAATCAAAATTTCATACTTGATTTTACAATGGATCATTGTATCCACATATTAAGGATTTATATATATCATCCTTATATATATATATAAGGATTTATATATATCATATATATATATATCCACAATATATCCACATATTAAGGTGATTAGTCTTCGTAGAGTACTAGATTTCAAAATATACCTATGAGTAAGGTAAGAAAAATATATTTATGGTGACGCTATATTTAAGTGTTCTTAACAAACAACAGAAATGGGAAGACAGAAGGGCCTAGGGAAGAGAGATTAAAAAAAAGACTAAGGATGCTAATATCTTCATTTAATAAGTAAGGAGTCAGATATCAGTCAAACTGACTGATGAAATAGGAAATACATGTATACATTTTTGTCTTTAATTACAGAAGGTAATCAGCGTACTACTTGATGTAGAAGATTTATTCTGGGATGAAGAAGAAACAGTTTTCTAATAGCTGAACTACAAGATAACTCTACCCACACTCCATCCCCACTAGCAAGACCACAGAAAGGATAAGAGAAACAATGTTATACTAGAACATTTAGACCTATATTTAAATTAGCTACTAGCCCAACCAACCTCAAGCAAATTATAAAATGTGATCCTTATCCTTAAACTAGACTATTTTTAGGGTTCATTTCCATTCAATATAAGCAGATCTTTATAGACAAAAGTGTGAAAGAAGTGTTTTCTAAGTCTGTGACTAGTTGTGGTCATTTTTGTTATTGTTCAGGCTGACCACTTCAGTCTTCATTGTCTGTATCACATGTCAGCATCACAATAAAGACGAGAAGGCCCTCCTAAGAGCCAAGAGAAAACCTGGCCACAAAATACTTTCTGCTTTAGAAAGTGGTGGTTGCTGCTGTTTACTTTCGTACATTCACACGTAAAAATAATTAAAGTAAATTATGGTTCATTCCCTATCAAGAAAATATCAACAAATGTATCAAAATAACTACTTTTAGCAAACTCTAAATTCTTCACGAGCATTTTGCATTTGGGATTAATTTCAGAGCAACCATGAGCTCACATATCAAAAGAGCATTTAAAAAGAGATTTTGTTCAAAGAAATAGGCACATCAAAGCAATTGAATAGGAAATAACTGTCTAACTTCTGCAAAGCTATATTATCTTTTTTGCAATGAAAACCTTAAACACACAAATTCTGAGTGGAAATCAAATCTGATATTAAATTTTATTACTTAGAGATGACTTGCTATGTCAGTTAAGAGCTGACATTTCAAAATAATTCAAAAAATCATGTTCATATAGATGATATTTATTCATTCCACAAACTAAAATTCAGTCTACAAACCTTGCTACACATTACAAGAAAGTAAATAGTTATATGCATACCACATTATTATCATTTTGGATCAGGATACCACATTCCTCCAACAATAATTTTCCATCAAAGGGAACTTGCATGAGGAAAAGAGAAAAGTAAAATGAATTACTGAATTGATTGTTTGTTATGGCTTTTTTCTTTATAACATCTTCATTCCTATATTCCTACCTTTGGTATTTGTCACTTCTCCTGGAAAATAGTGTTAATTTAATGAATGGTGATAAATTTCAATTTCTGAGTAATTAGCATCCTTTAGTTTGCATTTTCTTCGCTACAGTGAGGTTGAACAACTTATCCCATTTCACTTTCTGTTTATTTATAATCATTTCTATAATAATTCTAACATTTGTATCATGTGTAAGTATGCTTTCCATCCAATAAGATTATATTTTTGATTGTTTGGTTTACTTATATTACTTTGTCATTGTATCATATGTAAAACTTTAATCCTCTAAAATTTATTTTGTGTGAATTGTAAGAAAAATAATTGAATTTTATACTTTCATTTCCATATGGTTAGAGAGCTAGCCCAATATTAAATAATGCATTATTTTCTTACTTAGTTAAAATGTCTTCTTTATTTTCTATTGTTCATAGGTACTGGTTTTTGTTCTGGTTTTCTCAGGTGTTTATTCTGAAGAATTTTAAAATAGTTCAAACCCTTTCCAAAATATATTTTTAATGAAAACTGTATTGAATTTACCAATCACTTTAGCAAGCATTTCCTTCTTTATAATATTGATAATTTGATATTGGATCATACTGAATAAAGAGTTCTAGGCAGTATAATTTAAACTACACTTTGTCATATGACATGATTTTCAAATAAGGAGCATGGCAGGAACCTTCTTCTCTGTCTTTCTCTCTCTCTCTTTTCTTTCCTCTCTTTCTGTTGCTCTCTCTGTCTCACACACACACAGCCCAAAACATAGCTTCATAGTTTTAATCATACAGTTGCTGCAGCATCTTATACTATCTTATATTTTTATACCTAGAGTTTACTGACTTTGCACTGCTTTTACAAAAAGAAATAATTTCCCTATCATATTATCTTTTTTAAAAATTTTTTATTTGCTGGCTGGGTGTGGTGGCTCATGCCTGTACTTTGGGAGTACTTTGGGAGCACTTTGGGAGGCTGAGGTGGGCGGATCACCTGAGGTCAGGAGTTCGAGACTTGCCTGGCCAACATGGTGAAGCCCTGTCTTTACCAAAAATACAAAAATTAGCCAGGCGTGGCGGTGGGTGCCTGTAATCTCAGCTACTCGGGAGGCTGAGGCAGGAGAATCGCTTGAACACAGGTTGCAGTGAGCCGAGATTGCACCACTGCACTTAGGCGACAGAGCGAGACTAAGTCTCAAAAAAAAAAAAAAAAAAAAATTTGCATAGGGCAATGTGGTTTAATAGAAATATAATGTGAAGCCGGGTCTGGTGGCTCACACCTGTAATCCAAGCACTCTAGAAAGCTGAAGCGGGCAGATCACTTGAGGCTACGAGTTCGAGACCAGCCTGGTCAACATGGCAAAACCCCATCTCCACTAAAAGTACAAAAAGTAGTTGGGTGTGGTGGCGCATGCCTGTATTCCCAGGTGCTCAGGAGGATGAAGCAGAAAAATCTCTTGAACCTGGGAGGCAGAAGTTGCAGTGAGCCAAGACCACTCCACTGTACTTCAGGGTGACAGACTGAGACTCTGTCTCAAAAAAAAAGAAAAAGGAAATATAATGTGAGTCATATGCAAGCCATGTATGCAATTAAAAATTTTCCACTATCCACATTAAAAGAGTAAAAAGAAACAGATGGATTAATTTTAACATATTTTACTTCATTCAATATGTCCAAATATTATCATGTCAACATCTAATAAAAATTAAAAAGTAAAATGAGTTATTTTACATTTCTTTTTTTCTACATGAAGTCTTTGAATTCTAATACACATATTTTACTTGCAGAGCATCTTAATTTGGACTAGACACATTCTGTATGATCAACAGCCACATATGACCAATGGCCACCATACTGGACAGATAAGACATTATAAATTAAATGATTTTTGTATGAAGATTTCAAAGTCAGTCACTTTTTTTTTTGAACATGGGAAGTGTTCAAAGTTGTTTCTCATTTATCTTGGGGTTTCCAAGTACAAAAAACTGCACATATTGATAATGTTCTTTACTCGTATATTAATTATTTTGATTATTTGTTATTAATTTGGTCAGCAATCCAAAATAGTTTTTTAAATTTTATTTTTCTTTGTTTTATGCTACAAGTCTAAGTTTTGTTTTAAATTTAAGAGGAATTCCTCTATAATTCTATTGCTATTTTGATATTTGTCAATTTATTTTAGATAATTATCTTTCATTATATGAGGAAAGTACTTTTCAAATATATTTTACTAAGAGTCTTTAAGGATAAATGGATATTTCTTTAATACTTTCTGCATTTCAGGATGGTTACATGAATTTTTCCTGTGGCCTATCAATGTGCTTTCACATATTTATTAATTGACATCCTCATGCTGAGTGATTATTACAAAACCTCTGGAAAAGGTCGCTGTTTGTCATGGCATATTTGAATTTTAATACAATCTAAGATTCATTCTTTCTACATGAAACAATTGTTCCCCAAATTTCAGCTAGGTGTGCTTTTCATGAAATCACTGTACCCCATAAACACTGGGCAAGAATCAGGTGTCACAAAAAACCATGTTTGTTAGTGTATAAATGTTGTCACTGAAAAGGGCAGTTTGGCAATAACTCTTTATACAAATCAAATGCATTTCAGAGACTTTTGGATGCATCATTTTAAAGAGGAGATGGACAATAACAGCATTAATCCATTCATGAGGGCAGAGCCCTCAGGACTAATCACCTCTTAACGGCCCTGACTCTTAATATCATCACCATGGCAACTGAACTTCAACATGGGTTTTGGGGCACACATTCAAACCACAGCATACTATGCGTGACTAAACAAAAAGCTAGTTGACATGGAAAGCTTGGTACAGGATATAGTGTTATAACTACAACATTCTCAGTGGAATATATTGAAGACAAGAGTTGAATACATTGAATAAAGTCTAGGCTATTTTGTTAACTATTATTTTCATTCATTCCTTAGAATCAAGTATACACAGACACACAGGCATGCATGCAAATGTATATATGTATACGGAAGAACTGATTTCCACATTTCTGCATTACTATTCATAATTCAAATTGATTTATATATTCAATGTATTGCTATCACTGTCAGATTTCATGTATCATTTGTGTGTCTTATTCAATGAATTGAGTTTGCATTGTATGGCCTATGCTTTAAAGTAATTTAAATGGCATGGAATTATATAAACATTGGGGCTGGTAAACTTTTCAAGTATTTTTAATTAGCGTTTGAAAAATTTAATTTTATAATTCTTGTTTTATTCATTTTTCTCATTCATAATGGAAATTGGAAAATTTCTATTTGTGGCTGGGTGTGGTGGCTCATGCCTGTAATCCCAGCACTTTGGGAGTCTAAGGTGGGTGGATTGCTTGAGCCCAGAAGTTTGAGACCAGCCTGGGCAACATGGTGAAAACCCATATCTGCAAACAATCCAAAAACCTAGCTGGCGAGGCGGAGGCTGCAGTGAGCTGTGATTGCACCACTGCACTCCCACCTAGGCAACAGAGTGAGGTCCTATCAAAAAAAAAGAAAGAAAGAAAGAGAGAAAGGAAAAGAAAGAAGAAAGAAAGAAAAGAAAGAAAGAAAGAGAGAAAGGAAAAGAAAGAAGAAAGAAAGAAAAGAAAGAAAGAAAGAAAGAAAGAAAGAAAGAAAGAAAGAAAGAAAGAAAGAGAAAGAAAGAAAGAAGAAAGAACGGAAGGAAGAAAGGAAGAAAGAAGAAAAAAAGGAAAAAGAAAAAAATACAATTTATATTTGTGCATACACATATATATGTTTTATAATTTTAACTTAATTTTTTTATTTTGAAAATACTGAGAAGCATTCCATTTATGTTTTTCCTTGCTTTCTAAATAATTATTTCATTCCATTACTGGAATTATTACAAGCCAAACTGATTTATTTCTTAATTTTATATATTTTATTAATTTTATTTTTTCAAATGCATTGACTTTTGATTTTCCTTCTCTTAAAATTATTTCTGACTTCTGGTTTATGTTGTTTTTACTGAAAAGTAGCAATTCAGTCTCAGGTTTTTATGCTGAGCACTTTATCAACAGAATTTAAATGATGATTGTCTACTGTTATTTTCTAACAAAATGTTTGTTATTGCAGCTTTGATTCCAATTTAAGCTAAGGATTCTTTAGAAGAGTTTTGGTTTTTGTTTGTTGGAATAGGAAAGTATTTGGGTTATTTTCTGTTACTTTGTTTTTGCTTCTTGTTTTATTGCACTATGGCTACAAATGGTCTCTAAAAATGCCTTATTTTCTTGAAGATATTACTTTTTTATTATAGTGAGGTTATAATTAATTTAGAAGGGTTCCACAGATATTTCTGAAGAATTGCTATTGTGTTTTTAGATAAGCCTTGATAAAATAGAAGTCAGTTTGCTTTAACTTTGGTTTCGATATGTTTTACTTTCTTCCTTGAAAATATTACATTTTTGCTATATATCATAAAATATTCTATATTTTCTTCTCAAAGTTTTAGAGTTTTTTTTATAATTAGCTCAAGTCATCTGTAGATTTTTAAAAATATGAAATACATTTAATTATTTTCATGTGGGCACCCAATTTCCTCAGTGCTATTTATTGAATTTTTTTTTCTAGTTCTAAGAGTACCTAGTCTCCTGAGAGTCTACGTTATATAACATTTGAAGCTGTTGGGAATATGATATTTTTAATTTTTTTACAATATATACTTAGTTTACATTTGTAATATACATTTAATTATGTATGCCATTGCCATGTACATACACTAATAAAATCAGAAAATGTAATAGATTTCTTATTAAAAAATCTGTTAAAATTATATTTTCTAATTAGTTATAGTTGTCTGTATGTAAGACTGTCTTCTGTATGCTGATTTTATTAGTTCTTTAGTTTTGGTAGCTATTCTCTATTTATTTATTTTTTTATTTTCTAAGTAGATAAAACCATAGCCTCTGTAATGCAGAATAATATAGTTTTATTTCATTTTGTAATGTTCTTTCTCTTTTTTCTTATTCTGTTATTAGGCTTACTTAAAGCTTCAGTATGAAGTTAGATGACAGAGACGATAGTGGTACTTTGCCTTTTTGATGATTATGCTTCGCTATTAATTATCAGAGTAATGTTTTTCTCTTCCTTGGTATTTGGTATGCTATATTTATCTGCTTTTAATTCACACATTGTTCATGTTTTCTCTTTGGCTGCATTCTGGATTGATTTCTACATCTGCTGACAATTCTCTTATGAAGATTTTCTTATATGCTTTTTTCTTATCTTTGTTGTAATTTTTCCTGTGAGATCACTAGCATCATGAGTTATTCTTTAGAGACCAGATGTGCTTTTGGCTGTGGGCATCTCTGTTGGAAGTTCTTCTGTTTGTCTCTACTGGGGCCCTGTGTTTTTCTGGGGTTGTGGTGCTAGTTTATAGGCTATTTTCTCAACTCAGGCAAAAAGGTTCCCATGCTACATGCTGAGAGTAAATTAAACCTCCAAGCCACAGCCAAATGCTTATTGCTGGCTTTCTTTTTTCTGCAAGTATCCAGGAGGTTACCCTAATCCTCTGATAAAATTGAGGGCATTGAATGGAGTTTTTTATATTTCACATGCTACACATTAATTCCAAACTCCTGGCTTTAACCTTAAAGCTCATTTTCAGCAACTCACGCATGCAGAACCCATAGAGTTTCCTCTTTGTGTGTCTTGTGCCGACTGTTACCTACCATCCTTCCTTCCGCTGTTTCTTATTATTTCATCAATAGATTAGTATGATTATTATTATAATGGATTTCAATTTTTTGAGTGATAAGGATGTATTGAGAGGATTTTCTCAATGAAAGCTAGGAACCCTGGTTAAGAGTCTTCTTTGTCTCAAACACTTGTATGTTTTTGTGTTATGCTACTTTTGCTGGAACATACAACTTCTCATCACTTTGGCTAAGGATATCACCACTGGTGCTCTCACTTTAGAGGGTGCTACCTGTGTCAAGAGGTAACCAGGAGCTCTATGTGCAGGATCTCAGTGATGTGATTGGTTTGACATTTGAAAGACTTCCCAAAGATTTTGGTAAAATATTTGACATTTTCTGTCCTCATGACATACTTTTGGTTTCATTAACTCCTGCTGTTGGTTAATGTCTCTGTTTAGAGTTGTTATAAAAGAATTTTTGAGTCTGGGCAATCTACAAAGAAAAGAGGTTTATTTGGCTAACAATTCTGGTGACTGGAAAGTTCAAGATTTTCTACAAACAAAAGAGGTTTATTTGGCTAACAATTCTGGTGACTGGAAGGTTTAATTTACTCTCAGCATGTATCAGCTGCATCTGGTGAGGGCCTCATGCTGCTTCAATTTAAGGCAGAAAGTAGAATGGGAGTAGGCATATGCAAACAGATTGCGTAGTAAGAGAGGAAGTAAGAGAGAGAGAGAGAGAGACCAAGAAAGCCAGGCTCCTTTTAACACCAGACTAACCCATTCCCTTTAGATGGAGAACTTACTTGTAAGAGGACATTAATCTCTTCATGACAGATCTGCCCCCATGGCCCAAACATCTCTCACTAGGTCCTACCTCCCAACACTGCCCCATTGGGGATCAAATTTCAACATGAGTTTTGGCAGGGACAAACCATATCCAAAGCATAGCAGTTCAAGATGTTAATGTGGCTTGATTTGGGTGGTGATGGTCTATTTTACTTATCACCACAGAGGACTTTTTTTTTTTTTTAACATTCACTGAATGTAATGAGCCAGCCTTTTGCCAAGACAAGTTTTACCTGCTTATTATTTTATAAATGTCTCTCTGTATACACAGTATTGGCAAGACAGCATTTCACTGGTTTTTCATGCTGATATAGAAGTGCCTCTACTGTTCCATTCATTTGACCACTGACCACTCACTGCAAGACACATTTAGGGGGCAGAAAATGGAGAGCTACAGACTACTGACCAAGACCTTCACTGGTGAGATGGTGAGGGGTAGGCAATCTATAGTCACTAGATTTCTTCCTGCTAAAATACTGAAGTCCTGAAAATTTTTGTTTCCTAGATATTCGGTGACAATAAACAGGGGAAATTGAGTCTTATCATATCTTGCAATGAGATGTCATACATTTATTCATAATTTTACATTTTCTTATCAAATGAGAGAATTTGTATTCATTGACATACTTCTCTTCCTTGCTTTTTCTCTCTGCAAGCCTTTCCCCTTATACTTTATTACTCATAAAAATACATCTATAGATGCTGATCTGGTCATTTATAATACAGAAAACTGTTAGACTTTATATTTTAAGTCCTAAAATGCTCTCCAAAACTTGCTTTTTAGCCAGATGTTCAGCAGACTTCCTCATCTGAAAGTGTCATCCAGGGCTATGCCCAACACTGAGCATTACAGACACTTGGAAAAACACAGATTCAGGGAGGTTACTGGAGCATAAAGGTCAACCTCAAATGACACAATAAAAGCAGAATCAGGCTTGTAACCTTCAGCAATCTCTCTTCTACCTCAACTGTAGTAAATCAAAGCTGCTTTGTTTTGACTAGGGTAAGACAAACCATTTGAGGTGAAATAATTGCAATTCACATGGGACACCTGTCTAAGTTGGCCTCACTGATAGTATTAACATAGAGAAAGGCTGAGAACAAAAATATTTTGGAGCCATCTGGAGCTCTAAAAACAAAGACACTGACCAAATCAAGCCAAAAATGCCCAAATTAAAATATTTTAAAATATAAATACATCTAGAACTAGATTTAATTAAATCAATTTGTTAAGAAATTTAAAAAAAAATTCCATTAGAGTGAGAGCAATTATTCCTTCCTTCAACAAATATTTATTGAGCCTCTCCTTCTAGCAGACTTTCGTTTCTCAATTATTCAACCAGAAGGGGCTGCATGCCTGCTTGTGGCCTGGTTATTATTATACAGAGCATCATCTCCTTTCACTCTCAAAGGGGTCGTCATTAGGATGACAATGATATGATCACATTCCTCTTCATCCAATATATTGCATCATTCATTCTGACATTTTGTGTGTATGTTTTATTTTGTTTTGAGCATATCAGGTTTATCCCAGGCTTAAGGTCTTTTCCATGGATGTTTTCTCCCTATGGAATGCTCCTTCCCCGAAGAATTTTCTTTCTTGTTATTCAGATCTCAGTTTAAATATTTCTTCTCTAGTGAAACTCAGAATAAAGTAGCAATCTAATCATTCTCTACTGAATTACCTTATCACTGTCTGATAAGTTTATTCAGTAATTTCCATATTTATTTTCAATCTGTCACTCTCCAACCCAACACGTGTACAAAAAGTGGTAAAGTGTCTCACTACTTAGAACAGTGGTTGGGGCTTCATAAACTCTCCAGTACATAGAAAGATTGAAGTATCTTTGCAGATTTTCATCAGATAATCTCTTCCTGAAGAGGACTATCGTTTTTTGCTCATTTTATGTGAGTATAAACATAAGTCTAAGACACACTTTTCATACTCCAGAGCAAATCCTGTGCATCACAAACTTTTCATGTAATTAACGCTATTTTCAGCTCCGGATGCCATTGTTTCTGTTTAGGAAGAGAGGAAAACAGTTTTGTTTTGTTTTGGAATAGTTTGGACTGTTATTAAAATCAACCTGTTAGGAAAAGATTTTTGAGCCCAGAAAACTTCACCTAGATAAAAATCACCAAAATACTTTCCCCAGGTAAAGCAACTTACAAGTGCTTTTGTATTAATGACCTTTGTTCAGAAGAGTCAATGAAATATGCAGCTTTTTTCCAAATAAGAAAAAAAAAAAAACAGTAGTGCTTGGTTCACAGCAAGTGTTGAATGAATGACTGAATGAATATATTCCTGAAAACCTTCTCTCCAACAAGGTCCAGTTTGTTTCACTGTTACATATCATTATTGCATTCTGGACATTTACTTCCTGGTACTTTGTACCACTTTTAAATTAAGTAGTAACTAGTGTTAGTTATCATCTGTATAAGTTCCATGAGGACAGGATCCATATATTTCTTTCTCCACTCTGAAAAGAAGAATTTGTACTTACTTGTGAAATGTACTACTTGTATATTTTAGGTGCACAATCAAATAAATCAGTAGATTGCAGTTAGTGTATACTACGAACTACATACACTGGGCACATTAAGGAGAATATATTATCTGACTGGAAAGTTTAATTTGAATATGTTAAGCATAGATTTATCCTTGAGAATTATTTTACATTAGTATGTAAAACCGGGAAAGGATTTGCCTGCCATTGGAAGCTGTTGGAATAAAGTTATTCATGACTGACCCCAAACAGAATTAGTCAGAATGTTTTCTGTAGCCACGCTTTCTGTCAAAGAGAAGGGAGTTCAGTAGAAAAGAATAAACAGACGCTGAAGAGCAGCTGCTGAAGTCCAGAATGATGGATAAGAGCTCACAGGAGTAAAAATGAGTTCCCAGGTACCAGGTTGCTTGGATTATATCCCATATCTGGAGAGAACTTTGGCCTGAGATCTGATCCACCATCTGCTTTCTTAGAGGAGTTACAGGAAGATGGAAAACAAACGGTACGTTTTCAGTTTAGAAAAAAAAAAGGTGTCTACAGAGCGAGTTCTGAGACTGTAAATCAGGAAGATGCTAGGTGCAACTGCAAGGTGCAAGAACACTTGTATGAAATATTGGTCAATATGAGCCAGTGGAAGATGCTGGCATCACTGAGGGACAACATGGTTTACAAGGAACAAGTAAAGCTGCTTCTTTTCTTGTTTGATTGCGACATTAAACAGGAAGATTAGAAAAATGTGAAGTAGATGGTGTACCTAGGCCTATCATCAGGTCCTTAAGGACAAAAGTAAAGTAAAATATGTGTCAGAGTTTTTCCTGTGCAAGAAAACCTGTTGTTTGTATGTGGATTAATCAATTGATTTACAGTGGAATGGTTTTGTCCTTCTCAGCAGATAATCCTGTTTCCTAATATTTCCCAAATTTCCTTTGGTTGGAAGAATTCTCCCTATCTCTGAGGAAACTCCCCACCCCAGTGGAAGCCAGGGGACTCAGATTCTTCCCTTCCCTTATTCTGCTGCAGCCTGAAGTGAAGCTATGGCCTAAGCTTCAGCTAGAAATAGGATTCAGCATCTAGCCTGAAAAATGACAGCAGTAATATCAATCTAGATGATTTTTTGGGCAGAGAGGCTGAGATAAAATGAGATCAAGTGTTCAAAAGAAGTATTAGGTGTCCAACAAATGGTAGATCCTTTTGAGGTTGATTGTTTGAGAAGAGTGTACAAATTACTATGAGATTACTGCAGGAAGAAAGTAACTCCATTGAAGGAAAATGGTAGTGACTACAAAGGCAGTATAGTAAAATTTGTGTGTTTGGAACAAGGAAGGATGGATATGTCTGGCTACAGGGTCTATTTCAGGTCACCATGTAAACAGGAGCCTTGTTTACTGATAATACTACAATGGTTGCTGTGAATCATGTTTGTTATGAAGGGAACAGGAAAAAAACTCAAACTACCTGAGACTCTCCTGAGATATATCTCCCCACTCTTGACCACTATCCCAGGTATAATTCTTTTCTAAGCAGCTCAGAGATGTCATTTGTTTCTTTTCACAAGGCACAAAGAAGATGTCAGTGTTCAGCATCTTTCATCTTGCTGATTTATCTAGATCTTGAGACACTCAATCTCAAAACAATTAAAAGCATAGTAGTCTATGGCTATACACAGGCTGGTGTCTTTCTGCTCATGCTCCTTACATATTAGTAATGTCTGGTACCATGATATTACACACCAGTAATGAGTCACCCCTCATAATGTTACAATTTTTTATGTTTAAGTAGTATATATTTGCTTTAGATAATGAAACACCCCACAGAATAGAAAGATCAAGGGATGTTAGGAGTCAAATAAAGCTACATAGAACAGGATTGGTCTCTGGATCTCAAGGTAAAGCTAATTAAATTGGGTTGAGGCTTGTCATTTGGAAATGATAGTAAGTTTTCTTTCCTGGCTATGAAAAAAATAAGAGAGTTAGTTGGGTTGCCATTTCCAGAAGCAAAGCAATCTTTATCTGCTTTTTTTTTTTTTCTTTTCCCCCCTTTCTCTGTTATTTTAATCTTCTCTCATTATGTAGCCTGGCTTCTTCTGCTTCATTAACTCATGTTTCATCATAGCTACCTTTAAGTGTAACAATCAACTCCTAAGTATATATTAGTAATCACTGGTGAGACAGAAATGAGTTCATAAAACCCAAATACAAATTTTGGGGGATATGGAAGACAGCTAACGAAGGGTATGCTCTCCTTTTATATATTTTAATATATTTAATAAAACCCTAATAATTAAGAATATTATAATGATGTACAAATATATGGATCCATAGAACAGAATAGAAATAGAACCAAATAAATGTGAAATATTTCATTATGTATCTTTTCATTCATTTATAAGAATATGACATTATTAATAAATAAATACGATTTAATACTGACAAATATGCTGCTAATAATATTACTAATTAAATGATCTTGGGAATCTGTGTAATCATCTAGGAAAAAAGAAGTCTGGATTCATTTCAAGATTTAAGGAAAAAATACTGAAATAATTACATTCCTAAAATTTTTAGATAGAAATATTAGTGAATAAATTTGGAGTGAGAAGGAACTTTTTTTTTTTTTTTTGAGATGGAGTCTCACTCTTTTGCCAGGCTGGAGTGCAGAGGCATGATCTTGGCTCACTGCAACCTCTGACTCCCTGGCTCAAGCAATTCTCCTGCCTCAACCTCCCAAAGAACTAGGATTACATGCATGTGCCACCATGCCCAGGTAATTTTTGTATATTTAGTAAAGACGGGGTTTCACCATGTTGGCCAGGATGGTCTCAATCTCCTAACCTCATGATCTGCCCACCTCAGCCTCCCAAAGTGCTGGGATTGCAGGTGTGAGCCACCACTCCCGGTGGAACTTTTTAAAGGTAGTAAACAAAACCCAATAGCCACAATGGTAAAAAATGAATTATTCTAATAAAAGAATAAAAGAAAGAAAGAAAGAAGGAAGGAAAAACAAAGAAATGAAGAGAGGAAAGAAAGAAGGAGGGAGGGAGAAAAGAGGAATGCATGGAAAAAAAGAAAGGAAAAAGAAGTTTCCTGTTGTGCCTGAACTATCATAATCAAAGACAAAATGCAAAGATCAAAAGAAAAAAACTACTTCAATCTCATGTCATAATCAAAGGCCTCATTTCCCTTAAATAAAAATAGCTCCTACAAATCAATAAGAAAATCACCAATAACTGAATTACACACTGGGGAGGAATATTAAAGAGACTTCACAGGAAAGAAAAAATAAAAAACTTTTAAAATATAAAAAGATGTTTTCATGTCACTCATCATAAAAAGAATTAAATTTAAAAATGAATGAGTTAGTATTCTTCACTTCTAAGATTAAACAAAGACAAATATAGTTTCATAAAACAAACCGTCATGTCAAAGAGGCTTTGGAAAACAGAGGATTTAAGATTTTAAATTGGTACCATTCTAGTAGTATGACAATGAGGAGAACCCAAAGGTCTATAAAGGTACATATATTTCACCCACATTTTCCACTTTAGAAATTTATTCTATATACTACTTAAAGTAGCATAATTTAAACAGCAAATAAACCAAATGCAAATTCACAGATGGGTTGTTACATCGTTTTCTGAGTCCCTTTGGATTGCTGTAACAAAATACCATAAACTGGGTCGTTTATAAATAACAGAAATCTATTTATTATGATCCTAAAGGCTGGGAAGTCCAAGATCAAAGTGCTGGCAGGTAAAAGGCCCTTGTACTTATACTGCGTCTTCTTGCTGTGTCCTCACATGGTGGAAGAAGCAAGGCAGCTCTTGAGCCTCTTTAAGGTCATTAATCCCATTCATGAGGACTTCACTCTGATGATCTAATCTACCTCCTAATGTCATCACATTGGTAATTATGTTTCAACATATGAATTTTTGGTGGGAACATTAACATTCAGACCATAGCAGTCATATTATGCTATATGCAATGAATGGAATTGTATACAATTATAAAAAGAATTAGAATGTTCTGTATGAACTGAAATAAAATGATCTTGAAGATCATTTTAGATGAAAAAGCTAGATCATTGCTAGATGAAAAAGCGAGATGTGGAACAGTGTGTATTACGAGCTGTTATTTATATAAAAAGAGATAAGGGGATTTTTTGTTCATTTTACTTATACGTTTATACAGTAGCTTTACAAAGATTTACAAGGAATTAACGGCATTGATTGCCTATCACAGAAGAACTGGGTAAATGGGGGATAAGGGTAGAATACATTTTATTGTAAACCTCTTTATGCTGTTTGATACTGAACCATGTGAATGTATTACTATCCTAAAAATTAAATTCAATTAAAATAGGTTTTTAAAATAAAATAAAATATACTGTTACTGTATTAATTATCCATAATTCTTAGCAAAGTCATAGACATTGGGTGAATACTAAATAAATTTTAAAGTAGGTGTACTAAAACCACATTTAAAATGGGAGCTAGTAAAACATGTTACCTTAAACAAGTCTCTCTTTCACTCATTCAATCAAAATTACCTGAGTGCCTGATGTAATGGAAGCATGAAAGGCACTTGAGATGTAGTGGTAACCAAATCCAGCATATTTGTCCTCAACAAGCTGGTGATTAAGTTCCATAATTAGATACACAAGAAACAAACAAACAAACAAAAGCTAAGAAAAACATTTAAGACATAGTCTGAGGATTGTATTTGGAACTATAGCAATAGATATTTAAGGAACAATTCCATTCTACAAAAGTATTCTATGGTAGGTCATGCTATTATCTCTCAATTTAGTTCTTCTTATATCTTACAATAAGTCTTGATGATGTTCTTCATCTAGGGTTTCCTTTTCTAATCTTATTTACATAGTTCAAAAATGAGGATACTAATAGCTACTTTATCTTGTAAGAGTTAAATGACAGAACTTTTGTGCATGTACCTGGCAAGGTTTCTTGTATGAACTAGAATAGGTTGTTAATAAATGTTACTTGTAGCTGAATTGGCTTACACTATAGGGATGTGTTTTTGATTTACAAATTCCCTGTTGCTCACTCTTAATTAAGGAACACCACTTACAGATTATCCACAAAGCACTCCTATTGGATCTGGAATGTGTTCCTGGACAACTAAAGTGGGTTATGCCCAATATTTAAAAATGTCCTGCATGTATAATCACAGAGCTTTTCTGTGAAGACAAGAAATCAGGAAAAACTGAAAATTTGATAACCTTCTCATGGTTTAAAGCACAGTGGGAATCTAATGTTTATCTGCCAGATCAATTCCACCTTAATTCTCAAACAAAACTTCCCTAAGGGATTGACTTTTCAAGATTCCCAAGAAAATGGAGACAGTGGAGACACCAACCAGTATAATTGACCACTGACAGCTTATTCATAAGGAGAGACTAAAAATAGTTAGGGGAGCCAGGAATTCAGAAGATCCAGTGCTGGTTCTAAAAAATTTATCCACATATCAAACAAATCATCAAAAATTCATTTTAATTGTTCACAGTTTTGTCAAGTGCGTATCATGTACAAGAATTAGGTTATATACGGTGGACTGCTTTGCTTAATGCAATGATTTTACCCCAAACTGTACTAATTATGCATCCATCTTTTGACATATTTCAAGTTACATTTTTAATTATACCTCTTGTCATGACACTTAATGAAGATATTAATTTCAATAAATGATGGAGAATGTTTTGCTCTTGACCCCTCATGAAAAAATAAAGTAAAATAAATATTAAAAAGTTTCCTATTGCAAGAAAATTTGGTTGGCCCATATCAAAAGGCCCTTTGATGGCTAAAATGTGGACTCAGCAGATTTGATTTCAAATTCTTACAAATTGATTATTTTTGTAGGTGAATTAATTTATCTGAATGTCTGTTGCCTCAACCATAAAATTACTATAACTCAGAAATAATAAATAAGGATGTGTAGACAGAGGCCTAGCATGAAATTTGGCACTCAGTTAAGTCCTCATTCCATGAAAAACTCTGTTGGAACTTGAAATATGGGCCTAAGGGGACCTAAGGAGATGTTTCTCTTAAGAGAAAATTCAGAACCCTGTGTCTCTGACTACTGTCAACAATGTAGTCAGTTTTTCTGCTTCTCTCTGTTTGTGTTCTTAATCCACATTATGAGATATTATTTATAATTCATGTGTCCAATTTTTTAAAACTATATTAAAAACTGAAACGCTGGTAGTACCAAATTAGAAATAAAGATGATAATAGCTCAAACCATTCCATTTCATGTCAGTCACACATTGGTGAAATTGCTCTATCATATTCTATGAAAATAGCTGTCTCAGGAAAAGGAGGATCATGGGCGTGTTACTTGGTACAGCACTGTGTTGGTTGTCTCCTAACATCAGTGTCATGTAAAACACCATCAAAAGAAATAGGTAATTCTGCTATTTATCTTCAAAATGTAGCTCTTGGGCATAGAATGTAAATAAATAGATTCATTTAGGAAAGTCTAGTTAACAGAGTTGAAAATGATTATGGTTTTCCTCTGAATTTTGCAGAAAGTGGTTGTGTCTGTCTAGTGACACATGTGATGTTATTAGATGTGATTGAAATTTATCCAAAGTGGACTATGAGAAAGAAGCACAGAAAGCTATGGATGGCAGAATGAAAGTAATCTCCAATGTGCTGGACCCTTTTGATTGAGGGCTAATTGGGTTTTGTGGTTATTGTTTCTTTGCTTTTAATCTTCGGGTAGTCTTGGCCCCATTTTCCATCTTTTTTTTTTTTTTTCAGTGCTTCCTTCTACTCACTCAAAAGTGAACCCTTTGGAAACTTCTAGTTAAAAAGGCCATTGGAATACTCACAAAAGACTGTCCCCACATATGCTTTCCATGAAAAAAAATTATGAATATGGGATGTGGAGGGGGAGCTACATCAATGGATAAATCTCAGAAGGAGGCACCATCCTCACATATAAGTGACAGGCCAAATACAGTAAAGGTAGAAATACACTACAAAAACTTGTATATAAAATTAAACTGTATGGAGAGTTGAGCAGAATCAGGCTCCAAACACCTTATAGGAGTGATAAGAACCCTACTAAGATTGCTCACATGGAGAGGATGAGGGCAAAGGTAGCAGAGGGTAGGGCGAGTGGTGAAACTTAGGCATTTGTCCTGGGCTTTACACCTTCTTGAGCAGGTAGCCATGGCCACGAGACACCTGTCTTACACCAACCTCAGCTGTAGGTGCCCTATAAGCAGAGACCAGAGACACTGCTAGGATTTTCTCTCTGGGGAGTCATGCTATGAGCAGAGTGGAGGTCTCAAAACAGCAAATTTCTGCTTAGGAAATGAACACAGAGCACCACCTCAGGGCATGTCTCAGCAAGGTGGCTTGCAGCAAAGCCTTCCCTACTCCGACTGCAACTGAAGTTGCAACTGTCAAGACAAAACTAAATAAAACCCTCCTCTCTCCAAGCCCTCAAGTTTTACACAGGAACCCATATTGCAATTTGTTAGAAGACACCACAAATCCTAATACAGCAGAACAGTATGAAAAGTTGCATCAAAAATAATGATGCTCAAAGGAAGAGAAGCAATGTGAGGAATCATAATTATAACTCTATGGGAAAGCGATTCTCTCAATGTTTGTAACTGCTTCTTCATGTTCTATTTTTTTAGACTGTATACCCAATGGGTTTAAAATTTCAGTGCTTCCATTGACTAAGTGTGTATCCTTGGGCAAATTATTTTATTTATTTTATTATTTATTTATGTATTTATTTATTTACTTTATTTTTCTCAGTTTCCACACATTAAAGTGGGAATTGATTTAATCTACCTTACAACACTGTGTGAGGATTATTTGTTAAAACTTAGAACAGTCCCTGGCAGTAATCATCAAAAAAGCATTTGTCATTATTGTCATTCTTTTAATATTTATTAAATTTAAAATAATAATTAAAAATAAATAATATAATAATATATACAATATAAATGTGTTGCAGAAAATTGGGAGATACACAAAAGATATTGAAAAAATTGTGCAATCCTACCATATTTTGCAATACAGTGCCTTCAAGTTTTTTTTAAGCCTATGTAGTTAAGTATATACATGTTTATGTTACAAATTTGGGTGAGTGTATAGTTTTGCCTCATATTTTTTATTCCAGTGTAATTATTCATAGCTCTGCTTTTCACTTTCCAAATATCCTAGTTTAGATGATAAGTTATATGGTCACCCTAGTCATAACATACATGTTGTTTTGAATCCTATATTGTATTTAATATCATATATTGGTTGTTTTTCAAGCATATTATTCTAAAATGCATATGTAATCAAGTTCAAATCAATATATGGTTGAATCATATTTAACCAATTATATATTTTTAAATTGAGGAAATAATCTTACCAAATGTAAACTACAATTCTCTTAAAACTAAATACTCTCATGGTGTTACCCCTATCTGCAGAGTAGAAAGTCCACAGACAACACCAAATATGTGTAATTATATATTATATAATTAATTTATATTTATAAATCATCAAGAAATGTCAGACTATTGAATAAATTCTGTTGGAAAAATTAAATGTGTTTTTAAACATATTACTCTTAATATAAAACTACACACTAACATAAATTTCAGATAGAAATATAATAAAATTGAATAGCTTAATTACTGTTAATTCATTTCATTCTTAGGCTAAGGATAGCATTAGCCCATATGAACTACTTTTTAAAAAATACCTAATAGATTTGACTCCATAAAAGGCAAAACTTTTGTATGCTTCAAAAAATATCATAAATAATAAATCAAAGAGCAATCTGGAAAAATTATATGATAGTGAATAGTTTGTTATCCTCAAAATAGCAAACTCTTTTAAATAAGATTGAAATATTATAGTATTTCAAAGTGAGCAAAGAAAAATAATTAAAAATTCATAAAGGTACAAATGAAACTGACCAATAAACAAGTGAAAAAAGGATTCAATATTGCTGGCAATCAAGGTACAATATAAAATATTAGTGGTATATAATTTTCCCTGTACAAGTAGCAATTAATACTATCCAGTGTTGGTAAAGAAAAAAGTAAAATCAATTTTACTTTTCACTCACGGAAATGTAAACAGATATAATCTTTCTGGAGGAAAAGTTATCAAAATATATCAAAATCTAGGAATTTATCCTCAAGAAATCATTTGGACATCAAGGTACAGAGACTTACGCATAATGGTTGTTAATCACTGTAAGCAGGCAAAATTGGAAACCCACTAAACAGCCCTTCATAGATGACTGGTAAAATAATTTACGTTAAATTCTTATAATATTATAAGGAATATTTATAAAAGAATATAAAAGAATAGTTTAAAAGAATATAAAATTAAGAAAATTCTGTGGGAAAAAGCTCACAATATATTGAGTGGGAAGTAGAAGTTACAAAATACAGGTAGTATAATCCTGATGGTGTTCCTTTTTTTGTTGTTGTTATTAATTGAGAAAAGGTCTCACTACATCACCCAGGCTGGAGTGCAGTGGCGCAATCACAACTCACAGCAGCCTCGAGCTCCTGAGCTCAAGCGATCCTCCAGCTTCAGCCTCCCAAGTAGCTGGGACTACAGGTGCATACCGCCATGCCTGGCTATTTTATTTTATTTTTTTGTCTAGAAACAAGGTCTTCCTATGCTGCCCAGGCTGATATTCAACTCCTGGGCTCAAGGAGTACTTACACCATGGCTTCCCAAAGTGCTGAGATTACAAGCGTGAGCATCCAGCCAATCCTAATTTTGTAAGGCAAATGAGTATATTGTGTAATAAGGTATGAATATTTAATTTCTGGTACCTCAGATTTGATTAAGATGTCAATATAATGAATAATAGATAATGAAGTGTGAGACAAAACACCACACGCAGAATTTATAAAGGAAATAATTAGATAATCTAGAACCATTCCATAACACTTGATCTCCCTCTCTGACTTTGAAACTATAAAAAGGACAGAGGAGAGATGACAGAGAGGAAGTGTCATCTTTGATCCTGACAGTCTGGTGACAGAGGCTCCTGAATGCCCAGCTCTCCCAGGGCACAATGATACAATATAGTGAGCATGTCCTGTGGAATAGCTGTGGACCACACAGGAGAACCGAGAACCAGTTGGGAACTGTCTTCAGACCTGCTGAACAGGCCCCCTGGGAGGACAGAAGAACAATCCTCTTCCCGGGTAGAGTGGGTAGAGTGGCCCCCAGTGAGCCGGGGCCAACAGGGAAGCTGTAGTTAGCAAGCTGGGCAGACAGACCCAAACACTCTAGCTGAGAGAGGCAAGGGCAGGTGGGCTTCCCTCTGGCCCTGTGAGGCCTGCTTTCAACATAATGGTTAAAACCAAATACAAGTCTGGCACAGTGGCTCAAGCCTGTAATCCCAGCACTTTGGGAGACTGAGATGGGAGGATCTCCTGAGGCCAGGAGTTCAAGACCAGCCTGGGCAACATAGCAAGACCCTGTCCTTATAAACATTTTTTTAAAAAGTAGTTGAGTGTGGTGGCAGGCATTTGTAGTCCCAGCTACTTGGGAGGCTGAGGCAAGCTCACTTGAGCCCAGAAAGTTGAGGCTGCAGTGAGCCAAGATCATGCCATTGCACTCCAGCCTGGGTGACAGAGCAAGACCCTGCCTCTAAAAACCAAACAAACAAATAAAAATGAATACATATGTATGCCACAGAAAAAGTAGAAAATATGTGGAGTAGTATGCACGAATTGATTATCAGTGGTTATCTCTGAATCAGGTACCCATAGGAAATTTTTCCTTTCTTGTAAATAAAATTATTTTCCTAGTATCTAGAAATCATGTGTTTGCATACATGATTGGTAAAAGATTGGTGTCTATATAATTTAAAAGGAAAGACTTGAAGATATTAGCAATCAAATATATAAAAATATACAACCTGACAGAATTAATGGGTTTTGTGAGATTCATGGTGACATGGTCAAAATCAGATAATTCTCTGTTTCTCCTTCTCATGGCAAGCCAGAAAAACGGTAATAAGAGTGACAGATTTTACATATAAATCCATTCTGCTAACAATGTTTTTATGGCTCCTGGAAGGCAGAGTAGCTTAGCAGACTTAAGTATTCCCAGCAGATGCCAGTCTGGAAGATACATTCTTTCATCTGTATGGATTAATAGACCAGGGGAAAGTGATAATTAGTTTCTGCTTTGTGTCCTCAAGAATCTGTTTTTCCTCTATCTAATTTATTCATGGAAATGTCCTTCCCAGGACCAAGTTGCAACCCTCCACAGAAGGCCCTTCACACTCTAGCATAAATGATACCAGTGAAGTCGGGCAGTGTGCAGCTTGTACAACAGTTCACAGATACACATCCTGTGTGAATAGCTCACTGCAATCTTCTCTCCTAGAGAAATCCTTTCCTAACACCAGATCTCTCCTTCCACTTTATGTGAACTTTTATTGCCCCTCCATTTTTATATTTCCTTAGCAATCATGTCTTTCGTGTGTCCTCATTTGTACTTCTTCATGCATTTTTACTTCCTCAGTACAACTGGAGATATTCGAGGCCAGGTAATAGGCTGCATGCTTTTTAATCCTTAGTAGCACCTGTCTCAGTGCCTTGTACACTGTGTACTAATCAAGGTGACAGTTGAAACAACAAAAATAATAATGATGATAATAGATAATATTTATTGAGCTCTCACAATGTCCCAAGCATGACATGCTCTGAATGGAGTATTTTATTTCATCCTAGCAACAGCTATATATGTTACAGATTAGAATATCTTAATTTATAAAGAAGAAAGCCAGGGTTTATTAATGTTATGCAACTTGTCCAATGTCAAACTATTAATAAGATTTTGAATGAGTGAAGGAAGAAAACATTTCAATATCTTGCAGACATTACGTCCTTTGTAGTCTGTAATTCAATGTCAATAAACACAGTTAACTACACTGAGTTTACTGATGGTAGATGCTATGGTCTGAAAGTTTGTGTCCCACCGAAATTCTTATGTGGAAACCTAATCCTTAATGTGGTGCTAGTAAGAGGCAGTGCCTTTGGGAGGTGATAGATCGGGAAGAAGAAATCCTCATGAATAGGATTCAAGCCCTTCCAAAAGAGGCGCAGAGAGTTGTGTCATGCCTTCCAATGTAAGGAAACAGAGAATGCACCCTCTATCAGAAAATTGCCCACAGCAGACACTGAACCTGCCAGCACCTTGATCTTGACTTCCTAGCATTCACAATAGTGAGAAATAAATTTCTGTTGTTTATAAGCCACCCAGTTAATGGTATTTTTTCATAGCATCCCAAATGGATTAAGACAATAGGATCTGTGATTATTATTATTTGGATCCAAAGCATGGTATATGTTACATATGCTTAATTATCTGGGGAAATGAATGAATGAGTGAAGAAATCCACTAGTTTGGTGGTGCACTGAACTCCCCTTCTGAATGGCTTGCAAGACAGCCTGCTCTGCTGAGGGCCATCACTTTCTTTAAGCTGGATGCCCATGGAATTGTTCTACAGATAAAGAAACCAAGGTCCAAATAAACTGTGCTTTGCCAAAGGCCACACCACAAAGATCAGGTGGTCACAGAATTAGAACAAAACCCTTTGACTTCCAATTCAGAGCACCTTTTGTTTCACCCTTTCACCTAATTGTTGACACACAGAACACATGTTCCTATATATTAAATACAATTGAGAAAGGCAAGAATACAGAACATGGGTCTTTTGGGGGAAAACTTTCTGTTAATAATCTTCAGGAAAATCTCCTTGTGTCTGCTTAGCAAATGCCTACCCAGGCTCCTGGCCCTACATTGGCATTCCCAGGCTGTTCTCAATTTTTTTTTCCTTCACTGTGACACATATGGCAAAGGGGCACCACTTGGCTCTGAGCCTGATGGTCTAGGCACTGGGAATGACAATCCCTGGGAACATGAGGAAGGAGACCAAGCTTGGGCATGATTTGGTTGTCTCTGCAGGCCATTTGGAAGTGGGGCTGTGTTTATAAATTTATTTTCCTACCTGATGCCCTCTCTGGTGCTAGAACACACTCTACCGAAGATTGTTTTTTTCTTTTCTTTAGGGACTTGTGAAGTGGTTCTTCCTGGAAAGCTGAGGCACACAAACCCAGTGGGCTGATGGGAAGTCTAAATCCATATCATATTTTTCACCAGTCTTCCTCTGAATCACATCCAGACCAGGCTCCTAGCATCTTTCCAGGTGCTTTGAGAACAGAGCCTGTTTCTAAGATGCAAAGAAACAAAGTGCGAATCGAAGTCAGCACGTATGAATACATGATGGAAGTGATGCTCCTACCTTCCACGGAGGGGCTAGACGACTCCAAGTGTTTAAGCTGTATACACTGCTTGCCAGAGCTTGAGCCTGCAGACTCAAGCCTGCCATCACAGCCAGGAATATGCTAAGTACTGGATTCTGACAGGGAGAGAAAGGCACAGGGTGGGGTAGAAACGGCTGTCTCCAGCTGTGTGTGAGGAGGCGTGCCCTTGCTTCCAATGGGCATCTTCTCTACCCCACTGCATTCTTTGATTCTGTTCTGAGTCTGTTCTCTGCAGCATCCCCCATGCTTCCATTGGCTGGTGATTATGTCAGGATCTTGATGGGAACTCAGCCTGGCATGTGCTCATGAGAGGGGAGATGGAGAAAAACCTTCGCTGGCTCACAGTTCTGACTGACACATAGTTCAGCTCCATCTAACTGTGCTTCAAGGCTGAGGATGGTAACTACCCTGGGTGGGAATGGGTAGTAAGGAAGGAAAACCAGGGCAGGAGTCTACAAGTCAGCTTCCGGGAAGCTTACTGCTGCTATCCCTCAGTGCGCTGGCAGCATAGGAGGCAGGAGGCAGAAATATGCCCTTCAAGAATGCCACAGTAGCTGATGCCGGCTCCTCCACAGAAGGTCACTTCCTCTTGACTCTGACCAAAGTCTGAGTCACTCACTACATTCTTTCTGAACTCCTGCTTGCTATTCAGCCTCATGATCTGAATGCGACTTGTGGTACATTGAATCCATAGGAGGGTTTGATTAATCTGACAGATTGGTGCATTAGATATATTTACAAAAACTGTCACTGACACACTTTATAAGATTGATCCTCATAGGTAAATATGTTCCTGAATGGAGTTAGCTATAGGTTCTTGGGATTTAAAAGAGAGCAGAGGGGATGAGTTTTTGAAACAGTCTGAGGACCCAGCTCTGAACCACTGCTAAGACACTCAAGCCAGTAAGGCTCTCACAGTGACATCCTTGCACCATTTTCCTAAATATAGGTCATTTAAGATTTTATTTTTAAAATTTAATGTAAAAGATACACATTTCTGACTAACTTTGCATTGCCTGGGAGAGAATAAAAGAGCAGCGGTTTCTCACCCCCTGCTAATAGGGATTTCACTCAGCAAAAGTATGCACTGGACAGACGAGAGAGAGGGAGGAAGGAAGGAAGATGGAATGGAGAGAAGAGAGGAGACAGAAGAGAAAAAATGGAGGGAGGGAGTTGAGTGGAAGCTTATTTCCTGAGCATACAGTCATTCTGAAGATATCATGAGCAGCAAATTAAACAATCCTTCAGCAAGAATTTTGACAAGGAAATTTCATTAGGGATTTAAATCTCTATGGAAGCTCAAGTTGCTGCATTAAGATATGAAAATTGTGCAAATATTGTTCCTTAGAATAATGTTTGCCGCAGGTCATTGAGTTTCAGTCAGTGGAATTTAGAGTGATAAATGTCCTGTTGAAAATAACTAGAGAAGGGAGGGTTCTAGGGGAGGGAGGAAAGCGCCCTTCAGTTGGGAGCTCAGGTCCTGGAGTCATTTGGAATGGAAGTTAAACTCTAGCATTAACTAGCTGTATGACCTTGAGCAAGTTTACTTAGCTTCCCTGAGGTCTAATTTTCTCATCTATAAAATGTGGGCAATTGTCAGCAGTCTCCTTACTAAACTGTGATTGTGAGGGTTTAATAAAATAATCCATGTAAAGCCTTTGGCACAGTGCCTGGCACATGTATCATTTAAACGCGTATTAGTAACAATTATAGTGAGGAATAAGGGAAGTGGGCTGACATTATCTGGCATTGACTCTGTCCATCTATATGATAACAATAATGCTTATAGGTATTACTGTTGCCATTGCTCAAGTGAAAGCCTGAGGCCTGGAAGCCGAATCAAATCTGCTAACGTCGGAAAAGGGTAAATGTTACACCAAATTCATCCCCATGTTTATATATCCACATGTTTTTCCCCCTCACTAATCTGCGGGATCCTCAGGGCCTAAATCCTGTTTGCACACTTTTGTATTAACAGAGCCTGACCAATTAGGTGGCTCTTGGTGGATGCTGAGAAAATACTGATGAAATGAATTAATGATTACCTAAAGAAATGCACGTGTGCATGGATGAATGCAAGACATAATGCTTTTCCATTTAAGCTGTGTCTCAAGGACTCATCCATGGGCTCTCCATGCTTATTCTTTCTTTTTAAATTTCAAGGATTCTGGCATTTTGACTCACATAATGATATACCACTTTACAGAAAACTGGAGAAATAGAAAAACAATTTCATAAAATTCCACGTCCTTACAACATTTTAGTGTATTTCTTTTCTACATTTGGGGCAAAGTATGTTCCTTTTGCAATTTTATATAAAAGTAATTTTTTATCTTGCAGTTTCACTTAATAGAAACATTTCAGAGAGGTATAATTTTTTTTTTTTTTTTTTTTTTTTTTGAGACAGAGTCTTGCTCTGTCACCCAGGCTGGAGTACAGTGGCGTGATCTTGGCTCACTTCAACTTTGCCTCCTGGATTCAAGTGATTCTCCTCTCTCAGCCTCCAGAGGTAGCTGAGACTACAGGCACTTGCCACCATACCAGGCTAATTTTTGTATTTTTAGTAGAGACAGGGTTTCACCATGTTGGCCAGGCTGGTCTCAAACTCCTGACCTCAAGCATCTCTGCCTCCCAAAGTGCTGGGTTTATAGGCATGAACCACCGTGCCTGGCTCACACAGCTATAATTTTAATAGCAATTTAATAGACATTGAAATAGGTTTTCAGGGATAGTGACTGTAACCGTGGGACCATTTTGTTCTACGAGGAGAGAATAGTCATTATGGTGACCCCCTCCTCCACTCTTGCAGTGATGAACTATGGTATCTAAATGGCTGGTAACATTTGATTAGATTGTTTAAAGAGGTTTTTTTTACCCACTTTGTACCATATGCAAGACCTTGCCCTTTGTAACCTGTACTGAATAGCTATTCCACAGCCACATATGAAAAGAAAGCAAAACAGGAAAGAAGGGAGGGAGGGAGGAAGGAAGGAAGAAAGGAAAGAAAGAAGAAAGGAAGAGAGGAAGGGAGGAAGGGAGGAAAGGGGGAAAGGGAAAGAGGGAGGAAGGGAAAGAGGGAGGAAGGGAAGAAGTATTATATTAAAGGAGACAAAATAATGAAGGGAAATAAATAGGAAAAGAGAAGGGATAAAAACAGAAAAAAGAGAGAAAGAAAAAGAGAAAAACTAGATACATTAGGAAAAGTGAGGAAAAAAGAGAGAGAAAGAAAAAGAAAGAAATCAGCAAGCCCATTATTTTATGCAAGTTTCCTAACATGCCAAAGATATGTCTCACATCATAACCATGAATACCCTTTCAGAGGCCACCTGAGCAAGTGGTCCAAATCACTTGATAAATAAGATACCAAAAACTCCAGTAATACCATCCTCTTTGGGTAATTCCCAGAGAACTGTGTCTCACATTTCAGGAAATAGAGATATCCCTGTGGCAACCTTCACTTTTCTCAAGGAAAGCTAAATTTGCAAAGAAAGAGTAGTTACTGTATGGTGAATTGCTTCGTCAAGATAAAATAGAATTAAATTAAATTAAACAAAACCTTTTTCTTTCAAATAACTTTGCATTTACTTGAGTAAATGTAGCTAGAAATTCAGGGGGAAATGAAAATATGCATTTTGAAAAGATGTTGGAAGATGCCTAGACACGTTCATTATGCAGCAAAACGCACAGACACAGGCAGGGCGACCTCTGTCCTTAGTCAGTACAAAATATTTACTGAAGTCTGTGTTACGTATGTATGATATTCAGAAAACCATAACTTGGCCTTTCCAATTGCAAAATGCCTATCATTATCCTCACTAAACTAAATCGCTGATTCAATGAAAATCCCCATTTTTTAGTCATGATTCAATTCTAGCAGCTATTGAAAGAACAGAGAATTCTTTAAAGATAAACATTTCACATTTGACTAGAATTGGGCATTTAAGCATAAAAGGTTACTTTTACTACCATACAAACAAACTAATGACTAGCCATATTTTTTAGTCTGCAAATTGTCTTCTTCCATGAATGGAGAAAAAATAATTTGTCCTTAGGACAGTAATCACTGATATGCAAATAGTGTTGCCAAAAATGGAGTTTTCAAAGTCTGCTTGAAAACTTCTTACATGATTTCGTACACGTTTTCTTACTTTAGTAAGGTATGGTTTAATACTATCATAAATTAACAACCAAAGCGTAAGAAGCGGTATAATACTGTAGTTTCCATAACATTATTTCAGGTAAATAATAAGCTCTGTTATTTTTCTAGATCCCTGCTTTTGAAATGAGGTGGTACGTGGCTGGGCAGAAGGAAAGCTAAGGAGGCCCGGGTTGTTGGGAGTTCCCAGCAGGGGTTCAAGGTGGAATCCGGAAGCCAGGCCTCATCGTCAGAGAAGACCTAGACTGAGCCAGCTCTGAGGATGCTTTGAACATCAACATCTGCCATCAGCTTCTGTCCTTGGCAGCTTTCAGAGACACAAGACTGAAATATAGCTTTCAGCTGAGTTAACAACCATTGCTCAGAATAAACGCTGCCTATATATTGCATTAGAGAGAAGAAAAATGCTTGACCTACTTGGATCCGATAAGATGGAATCAGTTTTCGGCAGAAATTGATCACAACGGACTCCTTGGTAGCCTTCTTTGCACCTGAGAAAAGGGGATAAATGACAAACATACGCATGTGGTTGTGAAAGACTTAAGATTTCAACAAGTAAAATAGCCATCAATTACATAAATGTGAGAACAGTACATTCATGCTTTCATATTTTTTGATTCAGTCTGTTTCTGACCTCAACAGGCAGATTCTCAATTCTATTTCTTTGCCAAAAAGGGAGAAAGCCAACAATGTAGCTTTGCTTTTATAGTTTGATATGCAATATCTAAGGAGCAAATTGAATCGCATTTTAAGATACCTCACAGCAATCTAAATAATGGTTCTTAAAATTATAATTCTGGATGCAGGTGTATTTTTCTTTATGCAACACACTGGTCTCTAAAAGGCATTTAGAAACATATTCCAAGTGCCATTTTCTTATAAAAGATATTTTGAAATATAATGGATCTATTATTGATTTTGGCTACCACTAATTTGGTTTCCATGTGTTTTATTAGCTTGTTCACTGTTAGTCCTACTTTTTTTTTTTTAACCTCTTAGTTATTCTTCCAAGTCAGTGTCACCTCACCACTTTGCCAGAAATAACAGCATTTTATCCGGCAAGGTCTGAAAGGCATCTCTAAACTCAGATTTTTTCTCTCTCTATTTTTCTCTTTTATATTCAGTAAACAAGTGCAAAGTGTCTACTTTCTGCCAGGCATTGTACAAGCCAACTGTCCTGAGGCGGGCACAATTTGGAGGCAAGGAATTTGCCTGGAAGCACCAAAAAGGAGGCATGCCCCCGCCGCCCTGCCAGGCCCCTGTCGGGTCTTCACATAGCTCGCTCAATCAGGGCTGCTTGGCCACCTCGGACAGCAGTGGCTCATCAGACAGTGATTCCAGGAACAAATACGGCGAGGCCCCAGACGCCTGGCTCTGAACAGCCTTGTTAAGTGGGGAGGTGGCATTTACTGGTCTGCTCGAAGCTTAATCTGTCATGCTCGAGTTCAGCAGGGAAGCATCCATTGTTGCTTAAAGGATGAATCTGTCCTACTTAAGAGGAGGAAATAGTGCTGCTGGCATTAAAAAAAATCAGATTTAAAAAACAATTCTCTGCTTGTTAGAAATCTATGAAATTGACAAAAGAATTCAAAGAGGCCGTTCTGTCAAGAGACAGGAACCATGCGTCGTGAGTTCTTTCCTTAAAATATGCTTTGTTTTCTGAGTGTAATAAGCTATTAAATAAGGTCTATTGCAAGGGGAGAAGCAACATTGAAATGCATCTAGGTAATTTTTCTATCTTTCATTGTGAGCCAAATTGGAATTCAGGTAATCGGGCAGGCTCTCTTCAACACCTTTTTAAGCCTGGCACTCTAGAGTGGATTTGGCAATTTTCCTTGTAGACTGAGAACACAGACCTCCAATATATGGATATTCCAGATATCCAACATGTTACTGAAATGATTTTTTTAAAGCATAAACACATTTTCATAACCTTTTAAAAATTCATATATTTTACTTGAAATAAAGTAGGCATATCACAGTAAGAGTCAGAAAATACTTTGTGTACTTTGTACTGAGTCATATTTGTCATAAAAAAATAAATTCTTGTTTTCTGAAAGCTGCCCTAATGTAATTAGCTTGTTCTTATTCAGAATTATCGTACCATGGTGCTTTCATTTTCATTTCCCAATAATAATGAATTACGTCCTACGTATGTGCTATTGTATGCATTCACTTTTTGAAGATTTTATTTCCAATCTTTGTGAGAGATTTTAAGTACACTTTACTCTTTGTATCCTTATTTAATATAAGAGGAATATCCTAAGGAGATGGTGGCTTTTAAGGATAAGTGTCTTTTTGTTTTTGTTTTGCTTTTTAAGTGTTCTTTGTTACTTAAAATGCATTATTCTATTTGTGTGTGGGAAAGAAAATAAGGAAAGATGTTTGAAATTTTCCCATCTTAAACTGATTTTCCATGAGTGCTAACCCACCTTGAGGTGCTCAGGCCTCATGGGGTATCAGGAAAATTGCATAGTGAGTACTTTCCTCCTGCCTCCATAACTCTGTGCTGTAACTAATAAAGTGTGATGATGTTGCAGCAGCCTAGCCCAGGCTAGGAAGCCCCCCAGGGGCTGTGTGGCTGGGCAGGCAGCAAACCCTGTTCCTTTGTTAAGGAGGCGAGTCACTGCTAATTGACACCCAGTTTTAAGAAAAACAAAGTAAAATTTCCATTAAAAATCACACATATGTCACCTTGATAAGTTCACACTCATCCAAATGTGAAGATGGAATGTTGCTAGCAGGTAATGCCAGTGAAGTGGATTGAATTTACAACAATATTAAAGACAAGAAGCAAAGAATAAAAGTTTTCAATGCACTTCTAGTGCATAGATTGAAGTTGGCAGAACTTCTGATAGTGTGTCAAGCATATCTTTTGAGAAATATTATTGCATTGCTTGTTTTTGTTTTGGTTTTTTGGGGGAGAGTTGAGTGTGTATTTGTTTGTTTTATTTTCTTTTTTCTTTTTGAAAGACACAAGAATAAGAAAAAATTCATATAATAGAAATGCCTTTCTGTTCATCTTAATACATGACAAAGTTAATAACATTAAGAAGTACATGTGTAGTCTTTAATGGGGAATATATGTTTTAAAAAACACAAATCTTGCCTTAACCAGGTTAATATTCTATTATCTTTCTTTTTTTTATTATTTTAAGTTCTGGGATACATGTGCAAAATGTGCAGGTTTGTTACATAGGTATACATGTGCCATGGTGGTTTGCTGCACCCACCAACCCGACATCCAGGTTTTAAACCTCACATGCATTAGGTATTTGTACTAATGCTATCCCTCCCCTAGCCACCCACCCCCTGACAGGCCCCGGTGTGTGATGTTCCCCTCCCTGTGTCCATGTGCTTTCATTGTTCAACTCCCACTTATGAGTGATAATGTGGTGTTTGGTTTTCTGTTTCTGTGATAGCTTACTGAGAATGATGGATTCTAGCTTCATCCATGTCCCTGCAAAGGACACGAACTTATTCTTTTTTATGGCTGCATAGTATTCCATGGTGTATATGGGCCACATTTTCTTTATCCAGTCTATCATTGATAGGCATTTTGGTTGGTTCCTAGTCTTTGCTATTGCAAATAGTGTTGCAATAAAAACACTTGTGCATGTGTCATTATAGTAGATATTCTATTATCTTTCTACTCTGTATTGCTTTCAAAGCTCCACTCAATCTGTCCAGTCACTGTTCTTTGTATTTCTTTATCCCTTAGGAGCCTGGCATCACAGAAATTATATGAAAAATCTCAATGTTCCCCAGTTGTTTTACAAAACAAGGAGCATGCTCAGGAGAGGAAGCACAGCCAAAGTTGATAAACATTGTGTAAAAAAATGAGAAAATCATTATCCACAGTGACATAACCATACAGCAAACTCAGTTCACAAGAGCCGAGACATTGTAATTGTTTTTAAAAAAGTCTCCAACTCTAAGTGTACATCTACTTTGAGATAAAGGATTTGTTACATTGGAAACCAGTGAATTTCTTTCTTTCTTTCTTCCTTCCTCCCTCCTTCCTTCTTCCCTTCCCTTCTTTTTTTTTTCTTTTTTTTTTTGAGGCAGAGTCTTACTCTGTTGTCCAGGCTGGCATGCAGTGGCTAGCTGCAGCCTTGACCTCCTAGACTCAAGGAATCCTACAGCCTCAGCCTCCTGAGTAGCTGAAACTACAATTGTGCACCACCATACTCAGTTATTTTTTTTAATTTTTTGTAGAGGGGGGTTTTGCTAGGTTGCCGAAGTTGGTCTCAAATTCCTGGCCTCAAGCAATCCTCCTGTCTTGGCCTCCCAAAGTGTTTGGGTTTACAGGTGTGAGCCACTGCACTTGGCCTGGAAACCGGTAAGTTCTTGATCATGTTATTTGTTTTGTTTCTTTTCCACATTTAAAAGGCTGTAGGGAAGGGCATAGTTGAGGAGACCATGTGCAAAGCAGAGTAGAGCAGGTAAGTGGTGGAAGAGATGGTAAGAAAACACAGAATAAGAGAGATTGGTCCCTCACAATGGGAGGGAGGGAATGGGGAGGGGGCAGGAGTCTTTCTGAGCCCAACTGAAGTATCAGGTTGATAAGCCTCAGGGCCAAATAGAGGCTCAGGACCTTCCCTTCCCCACAGCAAATCTTGCCTTAACTAGGTTGATATTCTATTAGTTTTCTACTCCGCATTGCTTTCAAAGCTCCAATCACTTGGTTGTGTAGGGAGTTTTGTAGTTTCAAAGGTAGACATCACTATTTCTACTCTTGACATCCTTGGAGCTTTTCCCTGATCCATCCCACCTGCCCAGCTGTACCTGAAATAAAAAGCACCCCCTTCTATCATTGTTTTCCTCTTCTACATTGTCCCCAAGGAAAAGCCCAGTGGCTGGTTTAAGTAAAGAGTTTTAAAAGGCAACAATTGAGCCAGAGAAAAGCGAACAGTACCAGCAAGGATGAGACAATACAAGATCTGTGATCATTGGTTGAAATTCAATACTTGTTTTGCCTGGTGTGGTAAAGCAGATTGAGCAACATATTACCCAGGCTGGATGTGGAGGACCCTAAGGAAGAGACTTAAAATGGTCAGGTCACTCACTTGCTGATGTTCCCACAGAAATGATCATCTTTTGGCCAGCTAAAAGTGATTATCCTGGCCACCTGGCCACACTGCTAACTTCAGAGCATTCCCATCTCTGCAATTCTCATCTGCCAGTGTCTTTCAGCCTATTTCCTGAATAACAACTAAGTTACGGCTTATAATATGACAATGAGTGAAAAATTGAACCCCCAGTTGTAATCAACAGCCTCCTTACATTTCCAGATCATTCTTCAATTTCTCCTTCTTCCTCTTGTTAGGAAAACAAAACAAGACAGATACAAAAACAAGCAACACTAACATGGTTCTATTGAGAGAACTGTGCTACTCTCTTGCTCCACATCTGTGGATTTCCTGGTCATTTACTCATTGATGAAAGGTGTTATTGTTGCTTCACTGTCACACTCTCCAATTCTACTCTGTCCTCATTCTCAGGGACTTGATTATCTACATAGATAGCCCAGTCAACATATGGTTGCTTAGCACCTGTCTTCCTTATTAATATCATGATGATTAAGAGGGATGGTTTATATTATGGCTTTCCCATTTAGTTGTATGGGTATATTTTAGGAAAATTATTTAATATCTTTGTTTCTCAGTTTCAACCCCCCAAAAAAATGAGATGGTATTAGGAAGGAGAAAAACAAGTGCAGGTAGCTGATATTATATACAATTGCATTTTAGTCATTTTTATGCCTAGGAATCTTATACTCTGTATCTACAAAAATGGATTTTATATAATTTATAGAGACAAATATATGAAGAATACAAATATGTTCAAATGTTTGCTCCAATTCCTGCATAGTGCCTGGTCTCTTTATAAATGCTATAGAAGGTATACATACTTTCTTCTTTGGACCTTGATTTTAGACATAAAGTTTTAACTAGCCAAAATCAATTAGCTTCACAAGGGAAATGGTTGTAGACAAACTATATGGTTTATTTCCTGACCGTGACAACTTTTATTCATAGGGAAAAAAAATGGCCTTTACTCTTTGGTGTTACAGGAAAATAGAAACATGGTCAGTAATATACACGCCTGCCAATTTAACAGGGCTATTAAATGCTGATTTGAAAAAGGAACAAACCCTCCAGATATTCTTCTCTCTCTTCTGCCAATTCTCCTCAGCCTCAGTGTCAGTCCTTGGTTGGGGAAAATGGAAAGATCGTCTGGCATTTCAAGTTTACATTTGAGAGGCAAGGTGGTCTGGAGCTCTGCCTGGTTTTGAAGCCTGGCTGCTCTGCCTTTTTGTGCCTCCTTTCTTTATTTGTAAAATGCAGATAACAGTAGCCACCCCCTGGATTTATTATTAGGAGTAAATGATACAATACCTGTGGTGCATGATAAGCATTCAAGAAATGTTAGTTTTTATTATTATTTGAATTTGAAAGCATAATCCCAGCTTTTCAACTGAAGAAACAGAGATTGAGAAAGGTTAAGTATATTACCCCAAAACCACACAGCCAGTAAGTACTTGAACTACATACAAACTCAGCTGTGATTGACCTTAAAGCTCTTGCTTTATCTGTGGTACCTTCTGGCATTCTGTATGGAAATTCAGTGGAGACATAAATTGCCATATACCTAACCACCTTTCCCAGGATTAGGATTTAAAAATATGGCCCAAATATCATGAACTAACACCATGATTTATTTTAAAAATGAAAGACCTAGATTTGTAAATTATTCTCCAATCTAAAAATGTTCTTAAGCAAACCATATCACAGATATTGGTTAGTGATTTAAAGGCATACTTCCTGAGCTTTATAATTTAAAAGACACTCATCAACTATGGGTAAGAAGACTTCAGGTGAATTGTCACTAAAGAATGATAATGACATTTCTTTTTTTATGACATAAAAATTATATATATTTATAATGTACAACATGATGTTTTAATGTTTTAAAACATGATGTTTTGAAATATGTATTCAATGTGGAATGGCTAAATCAAGCTATTAACCTATATTGTACCTTATGTTATTTGTGGTGAGAACACTTAATGTCTACTGTTAGCAATTTTTTAGGTATATAGTACATTGTTATTAACTATAGTCATAACTATATTATGCAGTAGATTTCTTGAAATTATTCCTCCTGTGCACTGCTGGTGGGAATGTCATTAGTAAAGCCATTATGGAACATAGAATGGTGATTCTTCAGAAAATTTAAAATAGAAGTACCATATGATTAAGCAGTCCCACTACTGGATATATAGACAAAGGAAATAAAATTAGTATGTGGAAGAGATATTTACATTCCTACGCTTATATCAACACTATTCACAATAGCCCAGAAATGGAATCAACCTAAACATTCATCAACAGATGAATAGATAAATAAAATATGGTATCTACATATACACAATGGAATACTATTCAGCTTTAGAGAAAAAAAGGAAATTCTGTCATTTGTGACAACATGAATGAAACTGGAAGGCATTATGTTAAGTGAAATAAGCCAGGCACAGAAAGACAAATACCACGTTATCACGTATACGTGGAATCTAAAAAAGTTGAACTCACTGAAGCAGAGAGTAGAATGGTGATTACTAGGAACTGGGGCTGGATAAGGACTGGATAAATATTGGTCAAAGACTAATGACATTTTCTTTTTTTTTTTTTTTTTTTTGAGACAGAGTATCTCTCTGTAACCCAGGCTGGAGTGCAGTGGCATGATCTCGGCTCACTGTAACCTCCACCTCCCAGGCTCAAGCAATTCTCCTGCCTCAGCCTCCCCAGTAGCTGGGACTACATGCATGTGCCACCATGCCTGGCTAAGTTTTGTATTTTTAGTAGAGATGGGGTTTCACCATGTTGGCCAGGCTAGTCTGGAACTCCTGACCTCAAGTTATCCGCCTGCCTCAGCCTCCCAAAGTGCTGGGATTACAGACGTGAGCCACCGCACCCAGCTTCCAGTGATATTTCTTGACTGCAGACTACCCTCGATTTAAAAGCCAAAACCAAAACCAAAATGAACAAACAAAAAACAGAGGATGGATTCTCAGCAAGGAAAACTGAATTGCCCAGTGTCAAGGAGATAGGAAATGTAGGAGCCAGAATTTCAAAGGAGGCCTCAGTCTAAATGCAAAGTGTGTTCTGGGTGGACAAAAACGTTTCTAGCTAAGGATCTACAGCCTAGAGTTATTGGCTCAAAAGGTATTAATGGTGGGAGAACGCATTCCTTTCCCCAGCCACTCATCACGGAAACTGAGATCTAAGTTTGACTATGGAGAATTTTGTGACATTGATTAAAGAATAAGGTTTCTTTTGCTGAATTGAGAATTTAATTAATAATTCTTATTTAAAAAAGAACACTAATTAACACAGGAAGATCTTTAAGTTAACCACTTGTTATTAAAATTACCTACAGACTGGCTACAGGTACAGCCTTTACAAAATCCTCTTAACTATAATTGAAAGAATCTAAAATGGGATTATTTTAAATTTCAGAGTAACGGCTGCTTTAGAACTCTTGAAGGTTTTCCAATGTGTTGTCAATAGATTTCAAATACATCATACATTTTTTGTCTGATGCAAGCATTGCTTAAAATGTCACTCTGACGTTTCTTGCTAATGGAATTATATCTTAAATTTTAAGAAAATGTAGGGATTGGCCAGGCACGGTAGCTCACACCTGTAATCCCAGAACTTTGGGAGGCTGAGGCGGGTGGATCACAAGGTCAGGAGATCGAGACCATCCTGGCTAACACAGTTAAACCCTGTCTCTACTAAAAATACAAAAAATTAGCCAGGCACGGTGGTGGGCACCTGTAGTCTCAGCTACCTGGGAGGCTGAGGCAGGAGAATGGCTGGAACCTGGGAGGCAGAGCTTGCATTGGCCGAGATCGACCCCCTGCGCTCCAGCCTGGGTGACAGAGCGAGACTCCGTCTCAAAAAAAAAAAAAAAGGAAAAAAAAAAAGAAAAGAAAATGTAGGGATTTTCCCTTTAGCAAAGTTTAAATTCAGAAGTAGATGGAGGCCAATTCATCATAAAATTGCTATGGTTTTTACGTGTGAATTTAAAATCATTTGCCCAAATCCAGGTGTTGTGCTGCATGCATCACTATTTGAGCCACAAAAAAGGAAAAGAAAAAGAACAAGTTCAAGTTTGATGAGTTAAAAAATATAATAACAAATGAGTTTGCTCAACTACAAGGTCTTCTCAACCAGGCCTTGAGTATCAGGGACTTGTGTCCAGCAGCTAGCCGTACACTTCATTGGTCACTTTTAGTACCTGGGAAACAGCAACCCATTCACATCAATTTTTTACTTCTAATTATGACACATTTGTTCTTGGAGAATCAGAAGCTAAAGAGTTCTCACATCAGTCTGAATAAACATTTGGTCTTTATAGAGATTTCTGCCTCTACTTAGTCATGAGCTTCACCTCAACCTCACCACCTCATTAACAAAACTAAAATACCTAACATGGGCATGAACACCCTGTACACTTCAGGGTGCATAGCGATGTTCTCCAGAGCAGCTATGTGGGAGGAATCACCCATTCTGTCTAACTTAGCTTTGATTTTACCACATCTGGTATAAAAAAAAATCTATTTTTAGTATAAGAATGTAAATGAGACAGTAATATGGTGGCCCCTTGGAGGAAAGTCTTCATAATTTTAATATCATACCAGAGGTAATAAAATAATAATTGCCCTTATGAAGAAGAAAAGGTTTAGAGGGGGTAACAATGACAGGTTGTTGGAAGATGGATGAAATTTTGCTTCATGTCAATTTGAGGAAATGCACTGTTACTGATTTCTTAGTATACAAAAGATCTATTGTGAAAAATGTGAGATTCTAGTTTTCAATGTAGGTAGTCAGTTATGGAGGAAAAGGCATGTCTTTGGCTGCAGGATGGTCTCCAATTCTGCCACTTAGAAGGGTGATGGAGGCCTGTGATTAACCTCTCAGAAGTCTCAGGTGCTCCTTTCTAAATGGGGTTACTGAATCTTGATTTAGTACATGCTCTGTGTACCTTTACACACACTCACACCCTCACACACACACACAAACAAACACTGCCCTTATTCCTTGTAAATACATCCAATAATTTAGGTAGATTTAGATGCTAACAGCAAAGTCAGAGGACAGTCAGGCTATCTCCCCCATTTGTCTACTCAATTAAATGTTCCCATCAGTGCCTTTAATATTTTTCAGCCAATAGTAGGCTGGGTTCATTGTCACATCTACCCCCCATGATTTCTCTTTATTGTTCTGATTTATGATATGATCAAAATTGAGAAATTAGCCAATCATAGAATTTGACGTTTAAGGGACAACCATTGGGAGATTCCTTCAGTTGTCTCTACTTGCTCAGAATCAGAAGAGTAATTGACTAACATGTCCAGACTAGAAAGGTTGTATTAGTCTGTTTTCACCCTGCTGATAAAGACATACCCAAGACTGGGAAATTTACAAAAGAAAGAGGTTTAATGGACTTACAGTTCCACATGGCTGAGGAGATCTCACAATCATGGCAGAAGGCAAGGAGGAACAAGTCGCATCTTACATGGATGGTAGCAGGTAAAAAGAGAGCTTGTGCAGGGCAACTCCCATTTTTAAACCATCGGATCTTGTGAGACCCATTTAGTATCATGAGAACAGCATAGGAAAGACCAGACCCCACGATTCAATTACCTCCCATTGGCTCCCTCCCATGACATGTGGGAATTGCAGGAGTTACAATTCAAGATGGGATTTGGGTGGGGACACAGCCAAACCATATTATTCCACCCCGACCTCTCTGAAATCTCATGACCTCACATTTCAAAACCAAAACAAATCATGCGTTCCCTACAGTCCCCCAAAGTCTTAACTCATTTCAGCATTAACTCAAAAGTCCACAGTCCAACGTCTCATCTGAGACGAGGCAAGTACCTTCTGCCTATGAGCCTGTAAAATCAAAACCAAATTAGTTACTTCCTAGATACACTGGGGGCACAGGCATTGGGTAAATACAGTTGTTTCAAATGGGAGAAATTGGCCAAAATGAAGGGGCTACAGGTCCCATGCAAGTCCAAAATCCAGCAGGGCAGTCAAATCTTAAAGCTCCAAAATGATCTCCTTTGACACCATGTCTCTCATCTGGGTCACAATGATGTGAGAGGTGGGTTCCTATGGTCTTGGGCAGCTCCATCTCTGTGGTTTTGCAGAGTACAGCATCCCTCCCAGCTGTTTTCTTGGGCTGCCATTGAGTGTCTGCAGCTTTTTCAGGTGCACAGTGCAAGCAATTGGTGGATCTACCATTCTGGGGTCTGGAGGACAGTGGCTCTCTTCTCACAGCTCCACTAGACAGTGCCCCAGTAGGGACTCTGTGTGAAGGCCTCAACCCCACATTTCCCTTCTGCACTGCCCTAGCAGAGGTTCTCCATGAGCATCCTGCCCCTGCAGCAAACTTCTGCCCAGACATCCAGGCATTTGCATACATCCTCTGAAATCTAGGCAGAGGTTTCCAAACCTCAATTCTTGACTTTTGTGTACCTGCAGGCTCAACACCACATGGAAGCCAAGGCTTGGTGCTTGCACCCTCTGAAGCCATGGCCTGAGCTGTACCTTGGCCCCTTTTAGTCATGGCTGGAGCAGCTGGGATGCAGGGCACCAAGTCCCTAGACTGCACATAGCAGAGGGGCCCTAGGCCTGGCCCACAAAACCATTTTTTTTTCTCCTAGGCCTCCAGGCCTGTGATGGGAGGGGCTGCCGTGAAGATCTCCGACATACCTTGGAGACATTTTCCCCATTGTCTTGGGGATTAACATTCGGCTCCTTGTTACTTATGCAAATTTCTGCAGCCAGCTTGAATTTCTCCTCAGAAAATTGAATTTTCTTTTCTATCACATTGTCAGGCTGCAAATTTTCTGAACTTTTATGCTCTGCTTCCCTTATAAAACTGAATGCCTTTAACAGCACCCAAGTCACCTCTTGAATGCTTTGCTGCTTGGAAATTTCTTCCACCAGATACCCTACATTATCTCTCTCAAGTTCAAAGTTGCACAAATATCTAGGGAAGGGGAAAAATGCCACCAGTCTCTTTGTAAAACATAACAAGAGGCAGCTTTGCTCTAGTTCCCAACAAGTTTCTCATCTTCATCTGAGACCACCTCAGCCTGGAACTTATTGTTCATATCACTATCAGCATTTTTGTCAAAGCCATTCAACAAGTCTCTAGGAAGTTCCAAACTTTCCTGTGTTTTCCTTTCTAGTTCTGAGCCCTCCAAACTGTTCCAACCTCTGCTTGTTACCCAGTTCCAAAGTTATTTCCAAATTTTCAGTTATCTTTTCAGCAGGGTCCCGCTCTACTGGTAACAAATTTAATGTATTAGTCCATTTTCACTCTGCTGATAAAGACATACCCGAGACTGGGCAATTTACAAAAGAGGTTTAATGGACTTACAGTTCCACATGGCTGGGGAGGCTCCCAATCATGGCAGAAGGCAAGGAGGAGCAAGTCACATCTTACATGAATGGCAGCAGGCAAAAAGAGAGCTTGTGCAGGGCAGGGCAACTCCCATTTATAAAACCATCAGATCTTGTGAGACCCATTCATTACCATGAGAACCGCACGGGAAAGACTCGCCCCCATGATTCAATTACCTCCCACTGGGTCCCTCCCATGACATGGGAATTATGGAAGTTATAATTCAAGATAAGATTTGGGTGGGGACACAGCCATACCATATCTAAGGTAATGACTATGCTTGCTAGATCTCAGTTCAGCAAGAAACATAAAACTGTGCCCTAGTAAGACATCCTAAAGTTACTGTATAAATCAGGTTGGGCTGCTGTAACAAAATACCATAGACCAGGTGGCTTAGGCAACAGATATTTATTTTCCCAAATTTCTGGAGACTAGGAGTCCAAGATTCAGGTGCAGCATTATTGGGTTTTGATGAGGGCTCTCTCCTTGGGTTGCAGACCCCACCTTCTTGCTGAGTCCTCACCTAAGAGAGATTCTCTCTTTTTATAAGCCCACAGTGCTACAGGATTAAGGCCCCATCCTTGTGACCTCATTTAACCTTAATTTTCCCCTAAAGATCCTATCTCCAAATACAGTCTCATTGGGAGTTAGGGCTTCACCGTGTGAATAGCAGTGTAGGGGCAGTACAATTCAGTTCACAGGAGTTACCAAGTAGGGGAACGTAATATCTACAGACTAGCAAAGACTAGAACGTGAATTCTACTATATGTAGTGTTGCCAGGTAAAATACAGTACACCTGTTCAAATCTGAATTTCAGATAAACAACAATTTCTTGTATGTGTCCTAGAAGCAATATTTGGGACATACTTATACTAAAAATGCATTCATTGTTTATCTGAAATTCAGATGTGAACAGGTGTACTGTATTTTATTTGCTAAATCCATCAATTTTACCTATGTTGGAATACAATAATCTGAATAGTCACAGTAGTAGGAACTATTAACAGAAACACCTAAAGTTTAATGTATACAATTTTTCCTATAACGATATCCCGTTCTGATCAATTTAGCTATCTCTTGTTTTAAGGATAAGGCACTTGGGGAAAATTATACTTCCTCTATACACCACACAAGGGATATAGTGAGCTCACACAGTGTGCAAGGGTAGAATATGAATTTCAATACTGACTTCTTAAATAGCCAAAGCACTGAAAGCTACTTCAAGAATAAGGTGATGATCAAATGAAGAAATGTTGTTTATAAATGTTAGGTGCAGGTTTCTGACTTGATTTGGTGAATCGCCAGGTAAAGCTTTGCATAAAATCTGAACAAACCATACCAGCATGCTGGCCAGAAGCCCAAGAGAGAAGGAAGGAAGAAAAGACCTATTGTTCCTGCTTCATTCTGTATCTCACTTGACTCAGGATAATTTTAATACTGAGACTCTTACATGCTATTGAATTTGAAAAGCAGTGAATACAGACGTGTAACAGAGGGCAATGATAACCTAAAATCACAGATAAAACACAAGAAGAGACTCATCTGGAGGGTGGTAATGTCCTTTTTGGAAAGCTCTGTTCTCAGAAGGAGAGAGTGTGTTATCCACAAGAGATCAAAGAGGCCAGCCTTCTCTGCCTGGGTTGTGTAGATGATTCCCTGAAGCAAAACAGTACGTACCTTGATCAGGAAGAATGAAAAGAAAATAAATCTGGGAGATAAGTTGTATTTAAAAGGCATCCTTATGATTGACATTATAAAGGAGAGACAGAGCTCATTAGCAAACAACTGATAAAACCACTCAGCATGCTTCAAAAAGAAGTGGTAATAATTATTGTCTCTCTAAAAAAGGGGGCAAAGTGTCCACAGGATGTCATTCAGGAATCTGTTTGCAGACATCACAGAGCAAGCTGAAAAAAGTCCCACAGCCTTCTGATTTAATTAAGCGAAGAAGGCAAAATAAGACTTTTACAGCTCACATGCCTGAATCATAGAAGGTTCTACATGAAACATGATTTTTCTACAAGGCATTTTAGAAACCCCTAGAGTTGCCAAACCCTCATTCAACAGCATAATTTTCCCTATTTCTCCCAGGATATTGTACAATCAACTAACAGGGTGCAGCATTTCTGCCGGCTAAAGGAAGTGGGCAGCTTTGATCAGAATTCACAATAATATATCCCCCTTGTGTGATAAATGATTTACTGCTGAGGATAAATGGATATAATCTTTCATTATGTATGACATTCATCAGCAACAAGGAAGCTTTGGACCGAATGGAAAGTGATTTCATATTAAAAGCCTCATGTACCTCAGACTGAGATGAAAGGGAGGTCTGGTCTTAAAAAAAAAAAAAGTAGCATAGGCCTATAGGTTTAAATTGGCACTCAGTCAAATATAATTGTTATTGTAAGTTTGAAAATTTGTTGGGGGAAAACCAGGGAATTATATAACTAGAGCAATCTTAATTTTATACAAAAATTCCTGTTTCTTGTTTTTTTTTCTTTTTTTTTCTGAAGCTAAGCTATTTACTTATTCATCAATTCATTCATTTATGCTTTTATTTTTTAAATTTTTTTTATTTATTTACTTTTTTTTGAGATGGAGTCTCGCTCTGTCGCCCAGGCTGGAGTGCAGTGGCGTGATCTCAGCTCTCTGCAACCTCCACCTCCCAGGTTCAAGTGATTCTCCTGTCTCAACCTCCCAAGTAGCTGGGATTACAGGTGTGTGCCACCATGCCTGGCTAATTTTTGTATTTTTGGTAGAGATGGGGTTTCACCATGTTGGCCAGTTTGGTCTCGAACTCCTGACCTGAAGTGATCTGCCCACCTCGGCCTCCCAAAGTGCTGGGATTACAGGCGTGAGCCACCACGCCTGGACTATTTATGTTTTTAAAGACAAATCATTAAATCTTATTTTTAAAATTTATCGTATTTTCCAAAGGCTTCAGGAATTATCACACATTTATAGACTATCATTCTATTTTTTTTTCCAAGTTAAAATTACTTTTATTGGCAAAATGTTTTATCATTTCAACATGAATTTACGTTAATGATACAAATATTTTTCAAATATATTTTCTGTTTGTTTTCTCATAATTTAAACTTTTATTTTAGATTCAGGGTGTACATATGCACGTTTGTAACATGGGTATTTTGCATGATGCTGAGATTCTGGGGTTCAATCGACCCCATTACCCAGGTACGAAGCATAGTATCCAATAGTTAGTTTTTCAACCCTTGCCCCTCTCCATCCTTCCCCTCTCCAGTAGTCCCCAGTGTCTATTGTTGCCATTTTTATGTCCATGTAAACCCATTGTTCAGTTTTCATGGGTGAGAGCATGCAATATTTGTTTTTCTGTTTTTATACTAATTTGCTTAGGATAATGGCCTCTAGCTGCATCCATGTTTTGTGAAAGATGTAATTTTATTCTTTTTATGGCTGTGTAGTATTCCATGATGTATATTACCTCATTTTTCTTATCCAATCCACTGTTGATCAGCACCTAGGTTGATTCCACGTCTTTGCTGTTGTGAATAGTGCTGTGATAAACATGCAAGTGCATGGGTCTTTTGGTAGAACAATTTATTTTCTCTTAAATATATATATATACTAGTAGTGGGACGGGTGGGTTGAACAGTAGTTTTAAGTCCTTTGAGAAATCTCCAAACTGCTTTCCACAGTAAGCCCTGTTTCTTAACTATACTATTATCCTCAATTAGGTGTGTCATGAAGACCAACTTTGGAAACTGAGAATAATGATAAAGTCAGGGAGGAGACAGAAGAAGTGGGGTGCGGAGTAAATGACTTTCATTCTCATTATCAGTAGAAAATCAATGCTCCATATCTAAAGTAGATAAAGCAAGAAATAGAGGCTTAGTGTGCTATTTATATATGTGAAATTAACAACCAGAAAAACCCCAAGTGAAGTGATTTAATAAGCTATCCTGTGTGTGTTGAGCTCAGGGTGTGAATGAGGAGATTAGGGGTGGGGGCTTGGAGCAGAAAAATAGGTCCATAACTGATTGCTTTTCATTATGACCACATCTATATTTTTTTGCATTTTTAAAACTAAAAAATACACTTAATGATGATGCAATATAAGATGGATCAAATAGTTTTAATAAATGTTGCACATTCTTTGCTTTGTTGACTATGACCCATTTATAATGTCTCATCTTCCTTTGATTTTCAATACCAAGAATCGCTCAATATTATAGCGTATCTTAGACACAAAAATATAATATTCAAATTAAAGCAGATAGATGCAAGTGCAGGTTTTGTCTCAAATATAAACATTTTCTAATACCATGGAATTGTGGAGATAGAAGAAATAATAAAGAGCATGTTTCAACAAAGATGAGGGACTTACCTAAGACATCAAAGGGCATAAGGGGTCGAACAACAACCAGGCCCCACATGTTCTGTTTCTAAATTCAATGTACTTTCTTCTATTTCATACTTCCTCTTAAAAAGCAAAGACTTATTCCTAAATTCCACATGCCATCCCTGATGCCAAATTTTTCTGAATCTTTCCAGTGAGAACATATGTTCTTTTGGAAAGCAGTCAGCACAATTCAACTGGCTAGAGTTTGGGTAACATGTCCCCTCCCATTTTTTTTTTTTTTTTCTTGTAACAAAGCAAGGTCAAAAAGAGGTGGCAATATCAAAGTCACTAGCTTGGGCAAGATTGCATAATGAGACATACCATTCTAAATCTGAATGTCATGTGGAAACTGGGCAAATTACACAAACACATGTGTAAGGATAGGTAAGCTACAGAAGGCAACGTAGGGGATATTCTCTCAAATAGTGATATGCATAAAATTGTTGACCTTTTATTAAAACAAATAAGAACTGGGTGTGGTAGCTCACGCCTGTAATCCCAGCATTTTGGGAGGCTGAGATGGGCAGATCACCTGAGGTCAGGAGTTCCAGACGAGCCTGACCAACACCGTGAAACCACGCCTCTGCTAAAAATACAAAAATTAGCCAGGTGTGGCGGAGGGTGCCTGTAATCCTAGCTACTCGAAAGGCTGAGGCAGGAGAATTGACAGAACCCGGGAGGTGGAGGTTGCAGTGAGCCAAGATCGTGCCATTGCACTCCAGCCTGGGCGACAAGAGTGAAACTCTGTTTCAAGGCCGGGCGCGGTGGCTCACGCCTGTAATCCCAGCATTTTGGGAGGCCGAAGCAGGCGGATCACGAGGTCAGAAGATCGAGACAATCCTGGCTACCATAGTGAAACACCGCCTCTACTAAAAAAAAAAAATACAAAAAATTAGCCGGGCATGGTGGAGGGCACCTGTAGTCCCAGCTACTCGGGAGGCTGAGGCAGACGAATGGCGTGAACCTGGGAGGTGGAGCTTGCAGTGAGCGGAGATCACGCTACTGCACTCCAGCCTGGGTGACAGAGGGAGACTCCATCTCAAAAAAAAAAAAAAAAAAAAAAAAAAGGGTGAAACTCTGTTTCAAAATAAATAAACAAACAAACAAAAACAAATAAATAAAAATAAAAAAGCAAAATGCAACCTGGAACAAGTAAGTTGGCAAAAATTAAATAGATATCCATATACAGTAAATTCAAAGTGAAATTCAGAGGAATACTATTTAACTGGAGTGTTTGACAAGTTGAAATGGAATCTCAGAGATGAGCAGTGACTTGAACTCAATAAATACATGGTGATTAGTTTCTGCTAAAAGAGAGAGAGAGATTCAGTTAATCAAGTGATGGGTGATATATATATATATATATATATATATATATATGTATAAAATACTCCTATATATGTGTTTTACTTAGGAATAAATTGACCAGGGAGTGCTATCAGAAAGAACTTCTACATCTTGCTGAGGAATAGATGAAGAAAGAACCAACCTCCTTGAAGACCCATTCTATGCAATCCCCATGTGCTGAGAGCATTACAAAGGTTAGGTAAAGTAACCCTCATGACACTGTTGAGAAGGAGATGTTGTTACCACTATTTTGTAGGTTTAGAGATTGAAGTTGAATCAACCTCGGTGTTCTAGGGCACATGAAAAGCATATGTTAAAGCTTAGATTTGATTTCAACATTAAACCAACAATGGAGACTTATGTTTATTTCTCTTTCTCTTGTTGCTCTTGAGCACTTACACAGTGTTATGCATATTTCTCAAGTGCTCCATTTTATTATTAATTTGTTAGTTTTGTTTTTTTTTTGAGACCAGTCACCCAGGCTGGAGTGCAGTGGCGCAATCTCAGCTCACTGCAACCTCTGCCTCCCGGGTTCAAGGGATTCTCCTGCCTCAGCCTCCCAAGTAGCTGAGATTACAGGAATGCGCCACCACACCCAACTAATTTTTGTATTTTTAGTAGAGATGGGGTTTTGCCATGTTGGCCAGGCTGGTCTTGAACCCCTGACCTCAGGTGATCAGCCCACCTCGGCCTCCCGAAGTGCTAGGATTACAGGCATGAGCCACTGTGCCCAGCCTTAACTATCTTTTGAGGTAAGTCAAGCCTATCATTTTAGACTTATTGTACAGATAAAGGTTAAAGTAAGACCACGAGTTTAATGATTTCCCACAGTCACTTAATGGCACAGTTAAGTCAATCTGAAAATGTCTAAAGGAAAATTACAGTGATATTTAATATAGATTTAGATTTAATATGTACTAATATCCTAATCTCTCAATTCATATGCTCACTCAATATTAAATATACTGAGAAAGCAAGAGTTGGTATACCCAGAAAACAGAAACCTCTTTAAGTATCTGAAATGAGAAAATTTAATAAAGGCAATTGACTACACAGCTGAAGAAGTGGCAAGAAGCTAAGCAGGGGATGATAAAGTAACAGGGACTGGCAACAGCATGAAGCCATTCTCATCCCTAGGCTGAAGGGAGAAAGGGAGACGTCTGAGTCACAGAGACTAAAGTAAAACCAATGGGTCTATCAGACAGGAGCTGAAACCCTAGATGAACCTAGCTGCTGTTGGAAGTGAACCAGAAAAACAGACAAAACAGAAAGATAGAGAGCCTTCACATTTAGTGCTTCCTACTGGCCAACTCCCCTCAAAGCCGTTGGTCAAGAGAGCCTAAGAAATGTGGTGCTCTGAAATAGGGAACAGAATAGAAGAAGGGCCAGGACATGGATCTAAGAGCACACAGGTTTACAGATCAGCTGGCTTGACCATATATTCTATATAGCATACATTAAGGTATGTATCTTTATCTATAGAACATAAACACTCATGCATGTTTTTGTAACACTAACAGCAAAAGGTTTTTCCCCTAATCATTCCACATAATAGAGGTCTTAAATTTATCAAAACTAGAATAGCAAACCTCTGCATCCATCTTCTTTTGGAATCTACACTATTACTTCCAATACACACACCTCCACCACAAACACTCTCACTCTCACACAACTGCATGTGCACAGGTATACACACTCCCATTCACTACTTCCTCACTGCACTTTGGGGAGAGTGATTTATCCCCTCTGGGCACTCATTTCCTCTAATGGCCCTGGTCTGGTGCACAAAAGAGAGCCATGCCTACTCATTACTTATAAAGCTCATAAACGTTTTTGAAGATACAAAGCTCTAGTTTTTTCATTCTGTGCCTTGGTTTTAAATAAAGAAAGCTACATTATATAAAGGTTTCTGGGGGATTTATTACCAGACCTCGATCTAAAAAAATTTGCACTACAATTACAACTTTAATGACCTACTCTAAAACTTCCCT